>NC_000010.11:84840064-84991580 GCF_000001405.40 Homo sapiens | reverse complement strand
AATTGAAATCTCTCATACAGAGGGTGTGCATTCCTTGCTCTCCAGGAGATCTGGATTTGGACTTCCTCCAGTTCTGGGGCCAGATTCTCAGGCTCCCTAAGTGCATCCTGCTTTTCTTTGCCGTGGCTTTCCCAGCAGCCACTTTCAGAGGACTGGTTCAGGGTCCTTGCAACTCTAAAAGGGTGATACAGTCCAAATTCTGATGAGATCATCAGCTCCTTCTTCTCCTGCCTTGAGGGCTCACACTTGTAGCAAGGGCGGTGTTCCCCCTATACCCTCAGTACACACCAGTGTTCTATTCCACAAGCACTGCCCTATTCTGTTGCAAAGCTTTCTCTGCATGCAAAAGAGTTCTGGGGAATCTGAACCCCTAGGCAAAACCCTGTGCCAATAACAAATGGAATTTGGTAGATATCTACTGGAGCTCCCTGTTTTCTTCAGTGGGACAACTTTGAGGCATGTTCCACGCTGTCCCCCAGAGATCCCCAGCCAGACTGAGACCTGGTTGCCTATAGATGCAACCTGCTCATTAACACAGCCTGTATTGACTTCGTTCCTTATCTATTTCCTCACTCGCGTACCGGTGCATTCTGGGATAACTACTTGAATTCAAGTCATCATCTCGGGGTCTGCTGCAGCAAAGCTTTATACATCTCCTTCCCACTGAGTGGCCAGAGCAGGAGTGTTATTGGGATGAGTACCGACATTTGCAAGCCCCTCTGCTGGGGCTGGATTCTTAAGCATTCAGGGACTTTGTGACAAGCAGGCTGATTTTTGCCCTTTCCAAGCCCGGTTTTATTGACAAATGCATAACACTCAGCTTGAAACAAAATGTTTTTAGCTCTGTCGTAAACAAGCTAATCCACCGACAAAGCGCCCCCTCTGCTTTCTCTCCCCTCAACCCTAGCACAATTTATTCAGGATCCTTGGTTGCCCTTTTAATTGTATTTCAGTGGAGGATGGACAGAAAACAATAAAAAGCCTCACATCTGCATCCCTACAAGTAAACGGCTACAGCTTAGGACAAAGCCTATGATCAAAGAAGTGGCAGGATACTGGACCAGCTACCTGGACAAGCCAGGGAACTGTAAAGCCCTGCACACCCCTTTCCCCCTCCTCCCCCCCAACACACACACACCCCCCACATCATCGCATCATGGAGCTTTTAGGGGATTTCATTAGCTGGGCTAATTAAGGGCTACTTGCATCTTGTTCATTCTACTTAAGAAGAAAGAGAAGGAAATACTGAGAAATAACACTTTAGACAAGGACTAGACTCAGACTAGACCCTTGTCCTGATTTCTGGGGCAGTGGGAGTGGCTTCCCCAAAGGGCTGTGTTCTCCTTCAGTCCTGCCTTGCTCAGTTACTCTTTCTCTGGGTGCTCTAATGCTGAATTTTGTCTCAATAATGTAGCAGGTACAGTCATTAGTTTAGCAAGCTAGACTGTGAACATTGTGAGAGCAAAGATCATGTGTGTCTTATTCTCTGTTGTGTCCTCATTGCTTCGTGCAGAGTCTGCAAAATAGTAAGCATTTAATCAATATGTACTGAATCAATCAATAAATCAATCCTCAATACATCCTAGGGAAATAAAGGGTTGCTATATAAAAAGAAAAAATATATTTTATAATAGCAAAACAAACTAGTGCTGATGCTGTTAATCCTTAATAAATTTAAACAAGGCCAGGCACGGTGGCTCAAGCCTGTAATCTCAACACTTTGGGAGGCTGAGGTGGGTGGATCACCTGAGGTCAGGAGTTCGAGACCAGCCTGGCTAACATGGTGAAACCCCATTTCTACTAAAAATACAACAAATTAGCTGGATGTTGTGGTGCGCACCTGTAGTCCCAGCTACTTGGGAGGCTGAGGCAGGAGAATTGCTTGAACCCAGAAAGTGGAGATTGCAGTGAGCCGAGATTGTGCCATTGCACTCCAGCCTGGGCAACAAGAGCGAAACCCCATCTCAATAAACAAACAAACAAACAAAATAAAAATATATAAATTTAAACAAACAAGACACACCCAGGCACTCACACACACATACGCAAGACATGCACACTCTGGTTCTGGATGTGAGAAACACAGCAATGTTCCAGGTACTGAAGGAAGGTTCAGCGAGTATCTTCTCAGTCAGGGATATTATTGCTTCGCATGCCTCTTCAGCCTATTTTCTACAGTTATAAGCAAGTTCCCAGCATTTTAAGACCATGCTAGAACGATTTTTCCTGTTTGCTAAATTGTTAAGCCATGTTTGCCTCTGATTACCAAGCTCAGTGATTACTCAAACTCTGTCTCACTCAGTTTTCTCATCTGTAAAAGTAGTTATAATAGTAACACCCACTTTAAAAGGTTTTAGGGGGATTAAATGAATTATTTCAGGAGAAATACATAGAACAGTATCTGGCACATGGCAAACTAACAAAACTCTTAGCTATTGCAGCTACCTGACTTCTGAGCAGTGGCAGAATGAACAAGATGACATGAATTTTTCTCTGCTCTAAATCCCATCAAATTATTCTTTAAACCCTCCGAAAATGTCATTTCTCTGCAATAGGTGTGACTAAAACTGGTGACAATAACTTTACACATTTCAGATCTACAGTTCTTCACACCAGAGGAACTACATTTATAAGCATCTCTCCTCCACTCACTAGCCCACTTCCATTCTATCCGCTGTCACCTCAGCACTGCTTGTTTCAGAAATAAACTTCTAAGCCTGGCACAGTGGCACATGCCTTTAGTCCCAGCCATGCCAGAGGATTGCCTGAAGTCCGGAGTTCAAGGCTGTGATGCACTATGATCAAGCAAGTGAATAACCACTGCACCCCAGCCTGGGCAAAATAGTGAGGCTGGGGAAGGGAAGGGGCGGGGGAGGGAAGGAAAGGAAGGAAAGGGAAAGGAAGAGAAAAGGGAAGGGAAGGGAAATGGGAGGGGAAGAAAAGAGGGAAGAGAGAGAGAAAAAGAAAGAAGAAAGAAAGAGAAAGAGAGAAAAGAAAAGAACTCTCTATGAGTAAGACTAAAGGAAAAGCCAGTCTTTGCAGGCAGCTTCCACCGCAGTTCCACTGTGCATCTGGCTGGCAGAAGAAGTGCATAGTCCGTGGACCCACCTCTCATTCCACATGTTGTTGGGAAAAAGCTGCTCAGAGCATATCCTTTCAGACAATCTCCCTAGGGTCTCAGAAGTTTCTTAGAGGGCTAAGTCCTCAGTCCTTAGACTGAGAGGGCATCCATCTGATAACAAAGAGGTATGGGAACAAAAAATGCAGGTAAAGATGCCTGACTCTCAAGAGAAATCCCTCATCTCAACCCTTCAGCCTCTGTGGAACCGGCTGTATTCAGGACTGCTGAGAGGTAAAAACTTCAGTTTGTCTTCTGTCTTTTTCTGACCACAGAAAGTGAAATAACACTCAGCAGGCGAGGAGGCTCAACCCAAATCAAAGGAGTCCACTCTGCCACTAAAATTGAAAACACATACATTGGTTTTGGCTTTTGGAAACATAGGTGGATGGGAAATGAAGATATGGAATGAAGAGCTTTCTAACTCTGTGATTAGCCTTCTGTGATCTTCAGATTATCTGATGAGCTCTGCTCAAATTCAGTCTTGAAAGAAGCTTTACTGATAGCCCATGCCAATCCATTTTTGTTAAGAAGCAATCCTGTCTGTGTCATGTTCCATGAAATATGAGCTTTACTGATATAATGCTTTAAAAGAGAAAAAGAAAATGAAAAACAGAGAAGCGTAGAAAGAAACACAGAGAAACTTGACTAGATTTCTTAGCAAAGCTACTCGCCAAACTAAACATAGAATTAGCTATTTGTGAATTCATACACTTAAAATTTAAGTATAAACTTACAAAATAAAACAAAACTTATTAAACAAATTCCAGGGAGAAGTCTTGGCCTTATCCTTCAGGACTGATAATTAAGAGGACCTGAGAACCTTGCTGCCCATGGTATGGTTTCGGTTGGGGGAAAAAAAAAGTGCTGTAATGCACAAATTCTTGTTGATGGCTCTGTATTAGTTTCCTAAGACTTGCCAGAACAAAGTACCACAGACTGGGTGGCCTAAACAACAGAAGGGTATTGTCTCACAGTTCTGGAAGCTAGAAGTGCAAAGTCAATGTGTCAGCAGGATTGGTTCCTTTTGGGACATGTGAGAATTTGTTCAGTGTGTCTCTTCTGGCTTCTGGTGGCCTCAGGTGTTCTTTGGCTTATAGATGTTGTTCTCTGTGTCTTTATACCATCTTTGCCCTGTATATGTCTGGCTCTGTTTCCAACTTTCCCCTTTTTATGAGGACACCAGTCATATTGGATTACAGCCCGCCCTAATTACTTCATCATAATTGCATCATCTGCAAAGAGCCTGTTTCCAAACATGATGGTTAATACTGAGTGTCTACTTAATTGGATTGAAGGATGCAAAGTATTGCTCCTGGATGTGTCTGTGAGGGTGTTGCCAAAGGAGATTAACATGTGGGTCAGTGGACTGGGAGAGGCAGACCCACCCTCAATCTGAGTGGGCACCATCTAATCAGCTGCCAGCCAGCCAGGACAAAAGCAGGCAGAGGAACATGGAAGGACTGGACTTACTGAGTCTTCTGGCCTCCATCTTTCTCCAGTTCTGGATGCTTCCTGCCCTCGAACATCAGACTCCACATTCTTCAGCTCTTTGACTCTTGAACATACACCAGTGATTTTCCAGGGACTCTCAGGCCTTTGGCCACAGACTGAAGGCTGCTCTGTCGGCTTCCCTACTTTTGAGGTTTTGGGACTCACACTGGCTTCCTTGCTCTTCAGCTTGTAGATGGCCTATTGAGGGACTTCGCCTTGTAATCAGGTGAGTTAATACTTCTTAACAAACTCCACTTTATATATACATATATCCTAATAGTCCTGTTTCTCTAGAGAACCCTGACTAATATACCAAATAAAGTCACATTCACAAGTACTAGAGGTTAGGATGTCAACATCTTTTTGGTGGACACAATTCAACCCATAACAAACTGAAGCCCTCCTTCCTACTCTTCAAACCAAACAATGTCCACAAGTGAGTAGTGCCTAAGACGACACTCTTATCTTTTTTCTTTTTTTTTTTTTTTTTTTTTTTTGAGATGGAGTCTTGCTCTGCCGCCAGGCTGGAGTGCAGTGGTGTGTGTGTGATCTCCGCTCACTGCAACATCCACCTCCCAGATTCAAGCGATTCCCCTGCCTCAGCCTCCCAAGTAGCTGGGACTACAGGCACACACCACAACACTCATCTAATTTTTTTGTGTTTTAGTAGAGACAGGGTTTCTCCATGTTGGCCAGGAGGGTCTTGATCTCCTGACCTCAGGTGATCCACATGCCTCATCCTCCCAAAGTGCTGGGATTACAGATGTGAGCCACCACACCTGGCCAGTCACTCTTATCTTACAGAAACTCATTTAATCAAAATCAAATATTGCACATTATGCAAGATTGTATGATTTTTATTTTTGCAGGGCAGAGTATTCTAATATGTTGGTCAATTTGGAAACTTTGCAAATTTTTTCAGGCACCATCTGTATTAGTTTCCTATGGCTGCTGTAACAAATTATCACAAAGTTGGTGACTTAAAGCAACATACACTTATTCTCTTACAGTTCTGGTGGCCAGGGTCAGCAGTGGGTTTCACTGGGCTGAAATCAAGATGTTGGCAGGGCCACACACCCTCTGGAGGTTTCAGTGGAGAATCCATTTCTTTGCCTTTTACAGCTTCTAGTGGTCACCTGGATTCCCTGGCTCATGGCCCCTCCCTCTGTCTTCAAAGTACATCACTTCTGTCTCGGCTTCCTTTATCATAATGCCTTCTCTTCTTAGTAAAATCTCCCTCTGCCTCCCCCTGATAAGGACATTTGTGATTACATTTAGGGCCCACCCATAGAATCCAGAATAAGTTCTCATCTCAAGAACCTTAATTTATTCTCACTGGTGAAGTTCTTTTTTCCATATATGACAACATTCATAGGTTCTGTCTACTAGGACGTGAATATATTTGGAGGTTGTTATTCAGCCTACCAAACCATCCATCCTAGATCAACCCAAATTACAGTCTACCTCATTTTCACAAAGGAAAACCTTTCCCTTAAAAGAGCATTCATTTCCTAAATATTTCTTCAAACTTCCTCTCAGCTTTCTTCTCAGACATGTACCCCATCATTCAACACCTTATCAAAGAAGAGTCTGCTTTTAAGTACAGCTGTGCCTATTGATCAGTGCATGGAGATATTTGAACTATAAGAATACTTGAAACTACTATCAATTTTTTTTTCATTCTGAAGACATAGCTTAATTTCTAATGTGTTACCAGTTTTACAAAATATGCACCATATGTTTTCCACCAGACTTGGGGAATGCAGCAAAGTCCTCTTGGCAAATCAAATAATTTTGAGTATTACAAATTAGGGGTTTAAGCACCTCATCTTTTAAATTTATCCCTTAACTATTTAAAGTGATTTTTACATAAACTCTGAGCATGTCCCTGCCATAATGAATAAGAGGATAAATTGACACATTTGCCACTTTAGAAAACAGTCTCTCCTGCTCTCTCCATCCCAGTCCCCATGGAGAGTTTACCCTTGGATGTTGAGTTTAACCATGTGAGCTGCTTTTAACATATGAATATCAGTGGAAGTGACAGTATATCAATTCCGTGTTTAAGACTCTAGGAGGAATAATATGGTCCCACTAGCTCCACTGGGAGCTTTCAGACTTCAACTTGAGAATGAACTACTCTAGGAAGCCAGCACAACTCCAAACCAGGCCCAGAATAAGTCGGGTGGGGCAGCTATCTTACAGACCTCTAAGCATGAGAATAAGAGTTCATTACTATAAGATGCTGAGCATAGATTTACACAGCATTTTATAGCAATAGCAGACTAACAAGGCCACCACTTATGATTATTATATTTTTAATCATTATTAATGAGGAGTAGCTTCAAAAAACAATCGACCACCTATAATCCCAGCACTTTGGGAGACCAAAGATAGTGGTTCAACTGAGGTCAGGAGTCCGAGACCAGCCTGGCCAATATGGTGGAACCCCGTCTCTACTAAAGATACAAAAATTAGCCAGGTGTGGTGATGGGTGCCTGTATTCCCAGCTACTTGGGAGCCTGAGGCAGGAGAATGGCTTGAACCCGGGAGGCAGAGGTTGCAGTGAGCTGAGAAGGCACAATTGCACTCCAGCCTGGGCAAGAAGAGCAAAACCCTGTCTCAAAAAAACAATTGACCCAGTATTTAATTTTTGATTAATGTATGGACAAGAAATATAACATCAAAAACACTCACCTTCAATCAGTGTAATATTTATTATTCCTTAAATTATGTTTATAAATATTTTATTAATGCAAGTTATTTTTAAATTAAGCAAACAGTACGTGTAAAATTGTATACACAGTATGACCTCGACTATGTAAAAATCATAGAAAAATAACAGCAATTTATTTGGGGTAAACTTGATTATCTGAGTACTTCGTTGTTCACTGTGTATGACCTGTACTATAGATTTTAGATATCTACTATATATCATTTTGTAGTATGTTTGTTCTATAGATATTGAATAAAATAAATAATAGTGACTTTTTCCTGAGAAAAAGAACCCAGAAGTTCACTTAGAAAATTGAACCTAAGTAAAATTGTGAATATGACAGAAATTACAGTGGGGAACAGAGAGGTGTGTGCATGTGACAGACAGTAATTTCGAATGTATAGATGAGGGTTTGTGTGTGTGGTAGTTTTTTGGTTTTTTTTTTGTGGGGGGGCTTTTTTTGGTTTGGTATTTGTTTCTTTATTTTTTTTTGTTTTGAAATAGGGTCTCAATAAGTCACCCAGGCTGGAGTGCAGAGGGGCAATCATGGTTCACTGCAACCTTGACTGCAACCTCGACTTTCCTGGCTCAGGTGGTTCTCTCACCTCAGCCTCCCAAGTAGCTGGGACTACAGACACCCACCACTACACCACTTAATTTTTGTACTTTTGGTAGAGATGGGGTTTCACTCCTGGGCTCAAGCAATCCTCCCACCTCGGCCTCCCAAAGTGCTGGGATTAAAGGTGTGAATCACCGTGCCCAGATGAGGTCAATTTTTAATTTCTTTCTCTGGAATGTTGGCTAATTAAGATAAAATGCATTTTTATTTTTAAAATCAAGTATTTTCTTTTTCTAATCAGCTGAGAGATGATGGTGTGCAATACAGTTTCAAATACCTTCAGAGATATTGTCCTCAGAAATTAAACTATGATTTGGTTTTTATTTTTAAATAACTGACTTTTTAATACTTATTACAACATGCCCACAGAAAGTAAAAGAACAATTTTTTCAATCCTAATTAATTATATGAGTTTTCCCTTTTACTTACTTAGAAGTAGAGAGTAAAAAAGACACTTGTGCACCTTTTTATGGAGATCGAGACTCTGAAATGGTCATTCATATATAATACCTTTCCATTCAGAAAATGAGGGGGTGTCTTAGTCTGTTTGTGTTGGTATAACAAAATACTGAGACTGGGTAATTTATGAAAAAACAGAAATTTGTTAATCACAGTACTGGAGGCTGGGAAGGCCAGGTCAAGGTGTGGCAGGCTCCGTGTGTGGTGAGGGCTGCTCTCTGCTTCCAGGACGGCTTCTGGCTGCTGCATCCTCCTGAGGGGACAAGTGCTGCATCTCACATGGCAGAAGGGACAGGAGGGGAATCAGCTCCCTCAAGCTCTTTCATGAAGGCCCTAATCCCATCCACGAGAGCTCTGCCTTAGTGGTTTAATCATCTCCTGAAGTCTCCACATCTTAATACTATCACAATGGTGATTAATTCTCATCATATGAATTTTGGAGGACTTATTCAGACCACAGCAGGGGGCTTTGGTTTTCTGAATATCCAAGGACAGGGGGCCATTAAAGGAGGAAGGTGATGGATTATCTCAAGCCACATTTCAAAATTATTTTGAAAACTATAATTTTCCTATATAAAGGCAAATATGTATTCATTCAACAAAAATTGATTTGTACCACTCGTCGTTCTAAACACTGAGGACTGGAGGTAAACAAGAAATAAAACTTCCTTAGCTGGGCACAGTGGTTCACACCTGCAATCCCAACATTTTGGGAGGCTAAGGCGGGCGGATCACTTGAGCTCAAAAGTTCAAGGCCAGCCTGGGCAACATGGCAAAACCTCATCTGGACTAAAAATACAAAAATTAAATTAACCAGGCCTGGTGGCTCGTGCCTGTAATCCCAGCTACTCGGGTGGCTGAGGCAGGAGAATCGCTTGAACCCGGGAGGCAGAATGGCAGTAAGCTGAGATTGTGCCATTGCACTTCAACCTGGTAGAAGAGTAGACTTTGTCTAAAAAAAAAAAAAAAAAAAAAAAAGGGTTTCTGCCCTTACAAAGCTTAATTTAATTTTCAGTTTAAGAGCTGGTTGCCTTTTTGAAGGGTGAGGATTTGACTGTCTGAAAAGTAGAGGGAAATTCTGATTCTAATGTTGGGATGTTCTCACCATTTGAAAGAAAGAAAAAAAAACTAGCTGAAACCTTTGGAAACCACTTGAAAGCAAAATGTTTCAAGCTGTGGACACTTATCTACTTTAAATTAGAATTTTCTGATATTTTATTAAAACTATAGATTTGTAGGTTACATCCAAGTCAACTAAAGAGGTGGGGCCCAGGAGTTTCTAACTTTAACAAACTTGTCAATTGATTATAACATCATACTTAAAAAGTTTGAGAGTCTGCAAATAGAAGCTTGAAGGACAGTCCAGAAAAAAAAAAAAGTTACAATCTGAACATACCAATTTGAAAATCGATTTTGGTGAATTTTAAAAATATAAATATTTAAAATTAACATCTTTCATTTAAATAATGCAAAAATATTCAGGAACTGCAGGAAGAAATTTGCAAAACTGCGTTGAAATAAATTAAGAGGACACATAAATGGTGACACATTCCTCAAAGGAAACATGTATAATTGTAAAGAATGAAATTCTCCCCTGATTAATCTGCACTCTTCATGTATTTCCAATCCAATTAATATACACTTCTGAACACCTTTCGCATGTGTTTTGAATTCACTCTATCTATCCCACATCTATTTTGTCCTTCATCTTTAAATTTATACCTTTCTGTCTTTTACTCTGACTTCAAAAATAATCATTCAAGATTCCTGAATTAGTCAGCTTAGGCTACTTATATTGCAATAAAAAAATTCCAGAAGCTTTTTAGTTTAATTAGGTCCCATCTATTTATTTTTGTTTTTGTTGCATTTGCTTTCAGGGTCTTAGTCATGAATTCTTTGCCTAAGCCAATATCTAGAAGAGTTTTTCTGATATTATCTTCTACAATTTTTATGGTTTCTGGCCTTAGGTTTAACTCTTTTATCCATCTTGAGTTGATTTTGTATAAGGTAAGAGATGAAAATCCAGTTTTATTCTTCTACGTGTGACTTGCCAGTTTTTCCAACAACATTTATTGAATGGGGGTCTTTCCCCAGTCTATGTTTTTGTATGCTTTGTTGAAGATCAGTTGGCTCTAAGTATTTGGCTTTTTTTCTGGGTTCACTATTCTGTTCCATTGGTCTATGTGCCTATTTTTATACCAGTGTCACGGTGTTTTAGGAATTATAGCCTTGTCGTATAATTTGAAGTTGGGTAATGTGATGCCTCCAGATTTATTCTTTTTGATTAGCATTGCTTTTGCTATGCAGGATCTTTGTTAGTTACATATGAATTTTAGGGTTGTCTTTTTTAGTTTTGTGAAGAATGATGATGGTATTTTGAGGGGAATTACATTGAATCTGTAGAGTGCTTTAGGCAGTATGGTCATTTTCACAATATTGATTCTACCATCCATGAGCATGGGATGTGTTTCCATTTGTTTGTGTAATCTGACTTCTTTCAGCAGTGCTTTCTAGTTTTCCTTGTAGAGGTCTTTCACCTCCTTGGTCAAGTGTATTCCTAAGTATTTTATTGTTTTTTGCAGCTGTTGTAGAAGGGATTGAGTTCTTGATTTGATTCTCAGCTTAGTCATTTTGGGTGTATAGCAGTGCTACTGATTTGTGTACAGTCCTTTTGTATCCTGAGACTTTACTGAATTTGCTTATCAGATCTAGGAGCTTTTTGGATGGGCTTTAGAGTTTTCTGGTATATAATCATATCATCAGTGAACAGTGACAGTTTGACTTCCTTTTCCAATTTAGATACCCTTTATTTCTTTCTTTTGTCTGATTGCTCTGGCTGTGACTTCCAGTACTATGTTGAATAGAAGTGATAAAAGTGGGCATCCTTGTCTTGCTCCAGTTCTCAGGGGGGAATACTTTCAACATTTCCCCATTTAGTACGAGGTTGGCTGTGTGTTTCTAATATATGGCTTTTACTACTTTGAGGTAAGTCTCGTCTATGCCTATTTTGTTGAGAGTTTTTATCATAAATAAATGCTGAATTTTATCAAATAGCTTTTCTACGTCTATTGAGATGATCATGTGGTTTTTGTTTTTAATTCTGTTTATGTGATGTATCACATTTGTTGACTTGCATATGTTAAGCCATCCCTGAATCCCTGGCATAAAACCCACTTGATCATGATGTATTATCTTTTTAATATGCTGTTGGATTCAATATGGAGATTTCTTAAAGAACTAAAAGTAGAACTATCATTTGATCCAGCAATCCCACTCCACTACTAGGTATCTACCCAAAGAAAAATAAGTCATTATATGAAAAAGACTCATGCACATACATATTTACACCAGCACAATTCACAATTGCAAAGATGTGGAACCAACCTAAGTACTCTTCAACCAATGAGTGGATAAAGAAAATTTATATATATATATATATATATATATATATGAACAGAATACTACTCAGCCATAAAAAGCCATAATGTCTTTTGCAGCAACTTGGATGGAGCTGGAGGCTGTTATTCTAAGTGAAGTATAATAATTCAGGAATGGAAAAACAAATATCATATGTTCTCACTTACAAGTGGGAAGTAAGCTATGAGGATCCAAAGGCATAATGCTGATATAATGGACTTTGGGGAATCAGGGGGAAGGTTGGGAGGGGGGTGAGGGATAAAAGACTACATACTGGGTACAATGTACACTGTTCGGGTGATGGGTGCACTAAAATCTCAGAAACCACCAGTAAAGAACTTATTCGTGTAACCAAAAAGCACCTACCCAAAGAACTATTGAAATAAAAATAAAAGTTGAAAAAAATCTAGTATTTAATAGCACAACAGGGTGACTACAGTCAGTAATAATTTAATTGTACATTTTAAAATAACAGTATAATTGGATTGCTTGTAACACAAAGGACACAGTTTGAGGTGATAGATACCCCATTTACCCTGATGTGATTGTTTCACATTATATGCATGTGTCAAAATATATACCCCATAAATATATATGTACCTTCTATGTACCCACAAAAATTAAAAATTCAGAAAAAACACCAATATTTCAATGCTTACAACAAGAAAGGATTTTTTCGCCATGCTATATGGGCATCACGGTTAGGCTGAGGCTGCTCCTTGTGATCTTCAGACAAGGATTATATTTCCAGTATGTAGCTGTCAAGCTTTATGTGTCTATTGACTGTACTATTTATCCCTGGTGCATGGGTAGGGTCATTTTAGCAGGACATTGAATATGGGAATGAGGCAAAAGTGTGAGCTTTGTTTACAGTCTCAATCATCATTTTAGAGAATAA
Organism: Homo sapiens; assembly: GCF_000001405.40. Lineage (NCBI taxonomy): Eukaryota > Metazoa > Chordata > Mammalia > Primates > Hominidae > Homo > Homo sapiens. The sequence continues at coordinate 84,978,859 of NC_000010.11, read as the reverse complement.
ATGAAATGAGTATTTAATCCAAGAAGTTAAAGAAATTCTCAAACTGAAACCAATTGAGGGAAATATTTTAATAGATATGTAAAGTAAGGGTTTTTTTCCCCAAAATACCAATAAAATGTGTAAAAACAAATTTAATAGAGAAAAATGTAAACAAAAATGCATGTTTTTGAATAATAGCACAGGTAAATTCTCATTTACCTATGATATGGATATCATATCATATGGAGAAAATTTCTAATTCTATGCTATTTAAAATATTTAATAACATTGGAAAAGATAGGAAGCATTTCCCTGATAATAAAATTTGACAAATAGACCACTATGAAATAATGTACAGATTAATCTTTTCACTAAATATGAAGGATACATGAAAAGATTAAAATTGTAGACTTAGAAGTTAAATAGAACTCTATTCAAATTCTTACCCTATTACACAAAAATATTTTGTGATTTGACCACTTAACCATTCTAAATTATTTTTCTAAAGTAGGATAGTTATAGTTTTCTTAAGAATAATTGTGAGGATTAGAAAATGATGTAAATGAATTCCAAAATATTGCATGCATTCAGCTTATGTCTAATAAAGCTTGCTGATGTATGATGATGAGGAGGAGAATGGCAAAATTGCTGCAACATTAAAAACAAAATTTTAGAAGCCTAAATCTTAAAGCATGTGATAAAATAGAGTCAAGACGTTATAGGGTTTATTCTAGAAGTGCAAGAAGAATTTAACATTAGAAATTTTTTTTCTTTTTTTTTATTATTATACTTTAACGTCTAGGGTATATGTGCACAACGTGCAGGTTTGTTACATATGTATACATCTGCCATGTTGGTGTGCTGCACCCATTAACTCGTCATTTAGCATTAGGTATATCTCCTAATGCTATCCCTCCCCACTCCCCCCACCCCATGGCAGGCCCCAGTGTGTGATGTTCCCCTTCCTGTGTCCAAGTGTTCTCATTGTTCAGTTCCTACCTATGAGTGACAACGTGCGGTGTTTGGTTTTCTGCCCTTGCAATAGTTGGCTGAGAATGATGGTTTCCAGCTTCATCCATGACCCTACAAAGGACATGAACTCATCCTTTTTTATGGCTGCATAGTATTCCATGGTGTATATGTGCCACATTTTCTTAATCCAGTCTATCATTGATGGACATTTGGGTTGGTTCCAAGTCTTTGCTATTGTGAATAGTGCCGCAATAAACATACCTGTGCATGTGTCTTTATAGCAGCATGATTTATAATCTTTTGGGTATACACCCAGTAAAGGGATGACTGGGTCAAATGGTATTTCTAGTTCTAGATCCCTGAGGAATCGCCACACTGTCTTCCACAATGGTTGAACTAGTTTACAGTCCCATCAACAGTTTAAAACTGTTCCCATTTTTCTCCACATCCTCTCCAGCACCTGTTGTTTCCTGAAATTTTAATGATCGCCATTCTAACTGGTGTGAGATGGCATCTCATTGTGGTTTTGATTTGCATATCTCTGATGGCCAGTGATGATGAGCATTTTTTCATGTGTCTGTTGGCTGCATGAATGTCTTCTTCTGAGACGTGTCTGTTCATATCCTTTGCTCACTTGTTGATGGGGTTGTTTGTTTTTTTCTTGTAAATTTGTTTGAGTTCATTGTAGATTCTGGATATTAGCCCTTTGTCAGATGAGTGGATTGCAAAAATTTTCTCCCATTCTATAGGTTGCCTGTTCACTCTGATGGTATTTTCTTTTGCTGTGCAGAAGCTCTTTAGTTGAATTAGATCCCATTTGTCAATTTTGGCTTTTGTTGCCATTGCTTTTGGTGTTTTAGACATGAAGTCCTTGCCCATGCCTATGTCCTGAATGGTATTGCCTACGTTTTCTTCTAGGGTTTTTATGGTTTTAGGTCTAACATTTAAGTCTTTAATCCATCTTGAATTGATTTTTGTATAAGGTATAAGGAAGGGATCCAATTTCAGCTTTCTACATATCGCTAGCCAGTTTTCCTAGCACCATTTGTTAAATAGGGAATCCTTTCCCCATTTATTGTTTTTGTCAGGTTTGTCAAAGATCAGATGGTTGTAGATGTGTGGTATTATTTCTGAGGGCTCTGTTTCGTTCCATTGGTCTATATCTCTGTTTTGGTACCAGTACCATGCTGTTTTGGTTACTGTGGCCTTGTAGTATAGTTTGAAGTCAGGTAGTGTGATGCCTCCAGCTTTGTTCTTTTGGCTTAGGATTGTCTATGCAATGTGGGCTCTTTTTGGTTCCATATGAACTTTAAAGTAGTATTTTCCAATTCTGTGAAGAAAGTCATTGGTAGCTTGATGGGGATGGCATTGAATCTATAAATTACTTTGGGCAGTATGGCCATTTTCATGATATTGATTCTTCCTATCCATGAGCATGGATTGTTCTTCCATTTGTTTGTGTCCTCTTTTATTTCATTGAGCAGTGGTTTGTAGCTCTCCTTGAAGAGGTCCTTCACATCCCTTGTAAGTTGGATTCCTAGTTATTTTATTCTCTTTGAAGCAATTGTGAATGGGAGTTCACTCATGATTTGGCTCTCTGTTTGTCTGTCATTGTTGTATAAGAATGCTTGTGATTTTTGCACATTGATTTTGTATCCTGAGACTTTGCTGAAGTTGCTTATCAGCTTAAGGAGATTTTGGGCTGAGACGATGGGGTTTTCTAAATATACAATCATGTCATCTGCAAACAGGGACAATTTGACTTCCTCTTTTCCTAATTGAATACCCTTAATTTCTTTCTCCTACCTGATTGCCCTGGCCAGAACTTCCAACACTATGTTGAATAGGAGTGGTGAGAGATAGCATCCCTGTCTTGTGCCAGTTTTCAAAGGGAATGCTCCCAGTTTTTGCCCATTCAGTATGATATTGGCTGTGGGTTTGTCATAAATAGCTTTTATTATTTTGAGATACGTCCCATCAATACCTAATTTATTGAGAGTTTTTAGCATGAAGGGCTGTTGAATTTTGTCAAAGGCTTTTTTTGCGTCTATTGAGATAATCATGTGGGTTTTGTCTTTGGTTCTGTGTATACGCTGGATTACATTTATTAATTTCCGTATGTTGAACTGGCCTTGCAACCCAGGGATGAAGCCCACTTAATCATGGTAGATAAGCTTTTTGATGTGCTGCTGGATTCGTTTTGCCAATATTTTATTGAGGATTTTTGCATCAATGTTCATCAGGGATATTGGTCTAAAATTCTCTTTTTTGGTTGTGTCTCTGCCAGGCTTTGGTATCAGGATGATATTGGCCTCATAAAATGAGTTAGGAAGGGTTCCTTCTTTTTCTATTGATTGGAATACCTTCAGAAGGAATGGTACTAGCTCTTCCTTGTACCTCTGATAGACTTCGGCTGTGAATCCATCTGGTCTTGGACATTTTTTGGTTGGCAGTCTATTAACTATTGCCTCAATTTCAGAGCCTGTTATTGGTCTATTCAGGGATTCAACTTCTTCGTGGTTTAGTCTTGGGAGGGTGTATGTGTCCAGGAATTTATCCATTTCTCCTAGATTTTCTAGTTTATTTGCATAGAGGTTTTTATAGTATTCTCTGATGGTAGTTTGTATTTCTGTGGGATCAGTGGTGATATCTCCTTCATCATTTTTTACTGCATCTATTTGATTCTTCTCTCTTTTCTTCTTTTTAATCTTGCTAGTAGTCTATCAATTTTTTTGTATCTTTTCAAAAAACCAGCTCCTGGATTCATTGATTTTTTGAAGGGATTTTTGTGTCTCTGTCTCCTTCAGTTCTGCTCTGATCTTAGTTATTTCTTGCCTTCTGCTAGCTTTTGAATGTGTTTGCTCTTGCTTCTCTAGTTCTTTTAATTGTGATGTTAGGGTGTCAATTTTAGATCTTTCCTGCCTTTCTCTTGTGGGCATTTAGTGCTATACATTTCCCTCTACACACTGCTTTAAATGTGTCCCAGAGATTCTGGTATGTTGTGTCTTTGTTCTCAATGGTTTCAAAGAACATCTTTACTTCTGCCTTCATTTTGTTATTTACCCAGTAGTCATTCAGGAGCAGGTTGTTCAGTTTCCATGTAGTTGAGCGGTTTTGAGTGAGTTTCTTAATCCTGAGTTCTAGTTTGATTGCACTGTGGTCTGAGAGACAGTTTGTTATCATTTCTGTTCTTTTACATTTGCTGAGGAGTGCTTTACTTCCAACTATGTGGTCAATTTTGGAATAAGTGTGATGTGCTGCTGAGAAGAATGTATATTCTGTTGATTTGGAATGGAGAGTTCTGTAGATGTCTATCAGGTCCGCTTGGTGCAGAGCTGAGTTCAATTCCTGGATATCCTTGTTAACTTTCTGTCTCGTTGATCTGTCTAATGTTGACAGTGGGGTGTTAAAGTCTCCCATTATTATTGTGTGGGAGTCTAAGTCTCTTTGTAGGTCTCTAAGGACTTGCTTTATGAATCTGGGTGCTCTTGTATTGGGTGCATATATATTTAGGATAGTTAGCTCTTCTTGTTGAATTGAACCCTTTACCATTATGTAATGGTCTTCTTTGTCTCTTCTGATCTTTGTTGGTATAAAGTCTGTTTTATCAGAGACTAGGATTGCAACCCCTGCTTTTTTTTGTTTCCATTTTCTTGGTAGATGTTCCTCCATCCCTTTATTTTGAGCCCATATGTGTCTCTGCATGTGAGATGGGTCTCCTGAATACAGCACACTGATGGGTCTTGACTCTTTATCCAATTTGCCAGTCTGTGTCTTTTAATTGGAGCATTTAGCCCATTTACATTTAAGGTTAATATTGTTATGTGTGAATTTGATCCTGTCATTATGATGTTAGCTGGTTATTTTGCTTGTTAGTCAATGCAGTTTCTTCTAGCATCAATAGTCTTTTCAATTTGGCATGTTTTTGCAGTGGCTGGTACTGGTTGTTCCTTCCCATGTTAAGTGCTTCATTCAGGAGCTCTTGTAAGGCAGCCTGGTGGTGACAAAATCTCTCAGCATTTGATTGTCTGTAAAGGATTTTATTTCTCCTTCACTTATGAAGCTTAGTTTAGCTGGATATGAAATTCTGGTTTGAAAATTCTTTTCTTTAAGAATGTTGAATATTGGCCCCCACTCTCTTCTGGCTTGTAGAGTTTCTGCGGAGAGATCCACTGTTAGTCTGATGGGCTTTCCTTTGTGGGTAACCCGACCTTTCTCTCTGGCTGCCCTTAACATTTTTTCCTTCATTTCAACTTTGGTGAATCTGACAATTATGTGTCTTGGAGTTGCTCTTCTCGAGGCGTATGTTTGTGGCATTCTCTGTATTTCCTGAATTTGAATGTTGGCCTGCCTTGCTAGGTTGGGGAAGTTCTCCTGGATAATATCCTGCAGAGTGTTTTCCAACTTGGTTCCATTCTCCTTGTCACTTTCAGGTATACCAATCAGACATAGACTTGGTCTTTTCACACAGTCCCATATTTCTTGGAGGCTATGTTCGTTTCCTTTTACTCTTTTTTCTCTAAACTTCTCTTCTTGCTTCATTTCATTCATTTAATCTTCAATCACTGATACCCTTTCTTCCAATTGATTGAATCGGCTACTGAAGCTTGTGCTTGCGTCACGTAGTTCTCGTGCCATGGTTTTCAGCTCCATCAGGTCATTTAAGGTCTTCTCTACATTGTTTATTCAGTTAGCCATTGGTCTAATCTTTTTTCAAGGTTTTCAGCTTCTTTGCAATGGGTTCGAATATCCTCCTTTAGCTGGGAGAAGTTTGTTATTACTGATTGCCTGAAGCCTTCTTCTCTCAACTGGTCAAGTCATTCTCCATCCAGCTTTGTTCCATTGCTGGTAAGGAGCTACGGTCCTTTGGAGGAGAAGAGGCACTCTGATTTTTAGAATTTTCAACTTTTCTGCTCTGGTTTCTCCCCATCTTTGTGGTTTTAATCTACCTTTGGTCTTTGATGATGGTGATGTGCAGATGGGGTTTTGGTGTGGATTTTTTTCTGTTTGTTAGTTTTCCTTCTAACAGTCAGGACGCTCAGCTGCAGGTCTGTTGGAGTTTGCTGGAGGTCCACTCCAGACTCTGTTTTCCTGGGTATCACCAGCAGAGGCTGCAGAACAACAAATATTGCAGAACAGTAAATGTTGCTGTCTGATTTTTCCTCTGGAAACTTCATCTCAGAGGGGCGCCCAGCCATATGAGGTGTCAGTCAGCTCCTACTGGGAGGTGCCTCCCAGTTAGGCTACTCGGGGGTCAGAGACCCACTTAAGGCCACAGTCTGTCCATTCTCAGATCTCAAATGCTGTGCTGGGAGAACCACTACTGTCTTCAAAGCTGTCAGACAGGGACGTTTAAGTCTGCAGAAGTTTCTGCTGCCTTTTATTCAGCTATGCCCTGCCCCTAGAAGTGGAGTCTACAGAGGCAGGCAGGTCTCTTTGAGCTGGGGTGGGCTCCATCCAATTTGAGCTTCCTGGCTGCTCTGTTCACCTACTCAAGCCTCAGCAATGGTGGCTGCCCCTCCCCCAGCCTCTCTGCTGCCTTGCAGTTCGATCTCAGACTGCTGTGCTAGCAATAAGCAAGGCTCCATGGGCGTGGGAACCTCCGAGCCAGGTGCCGGATATAATCTCCTGGTGTGCTGTTTGCTAAGACCGTTGGAAAAGAACAGTATTAGGTTGGGAGTAACCCGATTTTCCAGGTGCCATCTGTCACAGCTTCCCTTGGTTAGAAAAGAGAATTCCCCAACCCCTTGCACTTCCCGGGCCAGGCAATGCCTTGCCCTGCTTTGGCTCACACTCTGTGGGCTGCACTCAATGTCCTGCACCCACTGTCCAACAAGCCCCAGTGAGATGAACCCAGTACCTCAGTTGGAAATGCAGAAATCACCCATCTTCCATGTCACTCACGCTGGGAGCTGTAGACTAGAGTTGTTCCTTTTCAGCCCCCTTGGAACCTAAATCCTAGAAGTATTTTTAGTTCATCACATTATAGGTGAAAGGAAGAAAAAAATGCATGGACATCTCAATAGATGATGAGAAAGCGTTTTGTAAAATTTAACATTTGATCCTAACCAAAGGGAAAAAAATTCTAGGAAAACTCAGAGCAGAAAGCTACTTATTTGGTATGATAAAGAATATCTATCAGAAATCAGTAGAAAATATTGGCCATGTCTTGAAGCATTTCTATTATATTCAGGAAGAAAAAAGGAAGCATAGCATCACTGTAATTATTTTGGATGTTCTAGAACTTCTAGTTAATATTACAGATAAGAAAAGTGTAATAATTAAACAGAAGGACCAAAGTTATCATGGCTTACAAATATGACTGCTTGACTGGAAATAACTGAAAAATACCAGATAGAAATATATTAGAATGATGAAAGATGTTTAGTAATAAGGCCAAAAATGATAACTATTACAAAAGCAAGAACTATAATGCTGATAATTATAAATGTGAATTATTAAGAAAAAATTCTATGCTAATATAGAATAAACATTGTGACATAAAAAGATATAATTTAAAAAACTTACCTGATGGAAACTATAAAACTTGACTAAATGGTGTAATTATGAGACCAGGCATGCTCTTGGATAGAAGGACTCATGATTATGAATACGTCATTCTCTCCTAATTTTCATCAAAATTAAAATGGGAGTAGTTCTTAATTTGACCAAAAAATGATTTTTACTTTTGCATTTTTCTATGAAAACACAGAAAAATATTCACAAAAAGTGATGAAGGAACACATTATTAAGGCACATTAAAAGACACTATGATTTAACCCACCTGATGATGGTGCACACACTAACAGAACAAGGAAAGAGAACTGAGAACTCTGAAACAGACAAACAAAATGGAATCTAACACATGCTAAAGATGAGTTTTAAATGCTTAAAATAATGAATTATTTATCAAATGGTACTAGGAAAACTGGCTAAATTTGGACAAAATAAAATTAGATTCTAATGTTATAGATGACACCTAAATACTTCTAGAGAAGTTCAAGAGTCAAATAAAAATAAAATTTTAAAATAACTGAAAAAATTCTTAGAAAAATATGCTTGTAATCTAGGAATAACAGGTCATTCTAATCTTAGCATTAAAAAGACAGGTTTGAGCCAAACAAATAACTAGGGAAATACTGTAAATACATAGAAAAAATAGTGTCCCTGATAAATAGCAATATATTAATATATAGTGTTAAATTATGTATAATATGTAAAAATTATTAATAATATTATTAGGATAATATTAATAGTATATATAGCAAACAAAAAAGAACTTCATGAGAAAAAAGAATATGGAGATTCCCCAAAAGGTAAATACAAATGGCTTTTAAACATAAGCAAAAATATTCAAACAGTAATAAATTAAGAACTATAATTTAGAAAAAGATATGCCTTTTGTTCCTAAAATTTAATAAAGGTTGAAAATAACAATAATTAGTGTTATCAAGGGTGTGCACAACTGGCCACCACTGAAGCAAATATAAGTTAGTATAACCTTTCAAAGTAGTAATTTGCTAATGAGTAATTAACAAATTAAACTTATATGGCTGATTATGCTTTAACTTAGTAAATTAACTTCTAAAATTTACATGAAGGGCATAATTGGACAAATTCACTAAATATATGTGCGAGACAAATCATAAAATTTAGCAGGTAGCAAAATAATATATCCAATATAAATGCCTATTAATAAAGAACTGGTGAAATAAAATACCATCAGTCCATGGGATACTAGCTTGCATTAAAAATAATGGCTCAGAGCTACTTTTGTTGAAAAATGTACTTGTTTAAAAACAAAGTTTTGGAGCTTTCACAATAAACATGTTCATAATATTACTTTTAGAATCATAGAAACAAAACTTAGCTATGTATTTCATACTAATTTAGGTGAAAACATAGGGAAGCAAATCCTCTCATTAGAATGTAAATTGGTCACCTCATTCTTAGGTCAAGATGGTCTGTATTTATTAAAAGCCTTAAAAATAGCCATACTTAAAAAGACAATTGCACTTCTAAGATATTGTCCTAAGGAAATAGTAAGACTTGAAAATTGCTAAGAAAATAGACTTTAAATGTTCTCACCACAACAAAAGTAATAATAAGTATGTGAGGTAATGGATATGTTAATTAGCTTAATTTAGTCATTTCAAAATATATGCATATATCAGCACATCATGTTGTACACCATATATTCACATAATTTTTGTCAATTAAAAATTAAATTAATATATAAAAATAAAATCACCAGCAGGAGAAAAGCACATACAAGGATGTTCATTATTTATTGGGGAAACAATTGTAAATGCCAGTAATAGTGCAAGTGCAGTGAGTTCTTACACCATGAGGCACTGTGTACTTTTAAGGTATGAGTGTATGTCCTTTCTGTTTCTGTTTAGTCCAACCCCTTCAGACCTGAGAGCCTTCCCTTAACTGCCACACCCTAAGGGATTAAGGTCGAGGGATCATGTGTGTTCCAGGCTGCCCTACGGTTGTTAATCAAACCAGATGATCAGATAGGGGCTAAGCAGTTTGAGACACAAAGAGTCACTTCCAGAAGAATGCCTGTGGGTGCTTTGCTTCACATGATCTATTGCTTATTCTCACATACAGAAATGCAAAGGGCCCATGGCCCCTGACTCAACTTCACAGAAGTGTCTGGTGCCAGAATGGCAAGGGGACCTATGATGCCCCCACAACTTCCTTTTCCTTTTCAGCTCGTGATTACTCAGTTTGGGAACAGTGACAATAACTTTACAAATACATATACAGATGTATCTTCTGTCTACTCAGGTCAGTAATACTGCACTTTGGTTCCTTGAAGCTGAATGCCCACCAAAGTTTCTGAACAAAGTCCCTAATGGTGGGTCTTTTCATGTGAAGAAGGAAAAGTTCCTCATTTAAAGTCTCTTCAAATTTTTGTGAATGGGTGGCACTCATCTCAGTAGATATCTAATGGCCTGCTCCCAGCATGGACCAGTTAGGGGTATCTTCTTCCACCAATCCTATTCCTCTGTCTTTTCTGGGGTACCACGGTGATCCAATAAATGTTTAATTCTTCATGGTAGTTATTTCTTTTAACCTGACTTTCCTCAGATTATTTATCCCTTCGACTGAGACAGTTTATAGTACATCTTGGCTCTTTTTATTCTCTTTTGATTTATTGCTATAACCGTGTGTCCATTTGAAGAAGTGAGCCTGAACTTCAACAGGCAAGGGAAACATGAAGGAAAAATAGTGACAGAGACTGTGAGACCTGAAGGAAGGGGAGTCCTGTGAATGTACTTAGTGGAGAGAACTGCAGGCTGAATCCCCAGTGCCTGTGGGAAGGAAGAGGAATGCAGATGGACTCAGACTGAGCAGTGACCATCCCAGCAGAGGATACAGGCTCTGGCAGATGCTCAGCCTTTATGAGCCCCTGCTTGGTATTTTTTTTTTATTCTCCCCAGACTGGTTACCCCTTCTTTTGGTGAGTGCATCCAGATCCTTATTTAGGAAAGTATTACCTTTCCCCTTTGCATATAATCTTGGCAAGACTAAGCCAGTCAACTCCAGCCTACTCTGAACAAGGGCCTTGCTTGTAACCCAAGCTTGGATAGTTGTACTCTACAACTTAAGACTTTACTTCTTTTACAGTCTGTAAATAATAGACCCAGTCTTTCAAGCTCGGGCTATCAAATCTCAAAACCCATGGATTTCATCCCTACTCTATACTAAAAAAAAAAATAGGTCAAAAAATAGGTTAGCAATAATACAGTTTATAAAGAATTTAGTTATTAAATCTTATCTAACCCTTCAAGGTAAATGCTTAGAAGATAATCTAATTGCATGGAGAAATGTCACAATACATAAAGTTAAAAAAATGAGATCAATAATTGTTCAAAATAAGTTATGATATTCACACACTGAAAGAATGCTAGAAACATACTGTGAAAGGTTAATAGTGTTGGGGTTTGGTGATTTTTATTTTGTTTATATTTTTAAATTTGTATAACACCTATTAATATTTGTGTAACTGAAAAACAATAATAAAAGAACTGCTCACATTTTCTTTTCTGGTAGCTACTATGAAAATGTCAGCATGAAGCAGGGTAAATAATTCGACCTCTTGCCTTGGAGCATGTTTTCAAATAGTAGACCCGGAAATAACTGAGCTGAAGGAAAAATACTAGAATTACTGAAAGTTAGATCTCCAAGGGATCTTAGCAATCATTGCATTCAGCATCTTAGTTTTTCAGATGAGGAAATGAGAGAAGAAGAATAGGAGAAGAAAGTCAGCATATTTGACCCAATAAATCATCATCCTTTTAACAGAATTGAGAATGGACACCAATTCCAAAAGAGGTTTTCTATCTCTTAAAAAAAAAATTCTTATAAAAATGTGATCTTTAGCCTCTGCCCTGGGTGCAGAATTTAACTAGCATAGAAAAATGGGCATTTTGTAGAATTCACTTTCCCTTTAAAAACTATATTTAAAAAACCAAATGTTCTCCGGTCCCCGCTGTCAATGCTGTGTTGTTCTTGCTTCCACTAGCTGAGAAGCAAAAGGCTCCTTGGAAAACTCCCTGCCTCCCTCCATCCCTTCCTCTCTCCCTTCCTTTCTTCCTTCCTTTCTTTCTTCCTTCTTTCCTTCCTTCCTTTCTTTCTTCCTTCTTTCCTTCCTTCCTTCTTTCTTTCCTTTTCTTCTCTTTCTCTCGTTCTTTCTTTCTTTCCTTCTTTCTTTGTTTTGTTTTCCTTTCTTTCTTTTTCTGTCTTTCTCTCTCTTTCTTTCTTTCTTTTGTGTATTATTTCCGATTAAGAAAACATTAGATATCCGTGCCAGATGCTGAAAATAATATAGAAAATCCTAATCACATATCATATTGTCACTCCAAAACAATGATAGTTAATATTTAACAGAGTTTCAGATTCCCTCATTCTCTCTTTTCCTTTCCTCTTCTCTTTCAACATTTTTTTGGTCAGTTCTTTTTTAGTCCACTGGGGGACACATCTACCCAACTCTGGGATCTCTGATTATCCCCTGACCCACTCAGGCAGGATCTTGTGGGAATGGAGATGGTTTCCATGTTCAAAATCACTCACTGCCTCTCCCCAGCCACAACCTCCATGGAGTAGGAAGTTCCAGTCCCTAGATATCAGACACAGCACACGATTTGCTTTGGCCAATAAAACATTAGCAGATGCAATACAAACAGAAGCTTGCGATGTGCTGGCACTGGTGGCCTTTTCCTCTCCCACTTGTGCCACTTCCATTAGAAAAGTTTCCCCCATTAGCTGATGCCTCTTCTGCCTGAGACCAGAATAGAGAATAGATGACCCCAGCAACGCGCACACCTGAACCAAGAAGGAGATTCACCCCCGCAGACCCACACCTGAGAGAAAGGATAAATGATTATTGCTCTCAGCCACTAGTGTAGCTAAACAGGATCCACACACAGAAAGATTCCTTGAAGCTGAATGCCCACCAAAGTTTCTGAACAAAGTCCCTAATGGTGGGTCTTTTCATGTGAAGAAGGAAAAGTTCTTCATTTAAAGTCTCCTCAAATTTTTGTGAATGGGTGGCACTCATCTCAGCAGATAGCTAAAGGCCTGCTCCCAGCATGGACCAGTTAGGGGTATCTTCTTCCACCAATCCTATTCCTCTGTCTTTTCTGGGGTACCACGGTGATCCAATAAATGTTTAATTCTTCATGGTAGTTATTTCTTTTAACCTGACTTTCCTCAGATTATTTATCCCTTCGACTGAGACAGTTTATAGTACATCTTGCTCTTTTTATTCCCTTTTGATTTATTGCTATAACCGTATGTCCATTTGAAGAAGTGAGCCTGAACTCCAACAGGCAAGGGAAACATGAAGGAAAAATAGTGACAGAGACTGTGAGACCTGAAGGAAGGGGAGTCCTGTGAATGTACTTAGTGGAGAGAACTGCAGGCTGAACCCCCAATGCCTGTGGGAAGGAAGAGGAATGCAGATGGACTCAGACTGAGCAGTGACCATCCCAGCAGAGGATATCGCATCTGGCAGACCCTCAGCCTTTATGAGCCCCTGCTTGGTTATTTTTTTAATTCTCCCCAGACTGGTTATCCCCTTCTTTTGGTGAGTGCATCCCAATCCTTCTTTAGGAAAGTATTCCCTTTCCTCTTTGTATATACTCTTGGCAAGACTAAACCAGTCAGCTCCAGCCTACTCTGAACAAGGGCCTTGCTTGTAAGCCAAGCTTGGACAGTTGTGCTCTATGACTTAAGACTTTAATTCTTGCTCCCAGTGATCCCCAGGAGGAAAACAATCTGAGTGCATTCACTCTGAAGTACCAAGAAATTGATCACCACTTCCCACTTTCTAGACTTCCAGTGCTGCCGAGGCCTTTTTCCTTCCAAAAGATTATTGCAAAGTTTTGTCTTCAATTCAGGCTATTTAAATTGATTATTTGGTTCTTATTGTTTCTCTTTCATTTTCTAGAGTTTTTATCAAAGAAATTTAACCAATATGGCACAGATTTGCAAAAGTCACAAGTTAATTCTTAAGCTGGAATTGCCTTAATGGCATTGTGCTTTAAAACAAACATTATAATAAAAAAAGCTTTATCTTGTGTTTTTATCATCATATAATTTCTTATAGTAAACATTGTGAATAATTCATAAAAAATAAAACAAAAACCAAATTACCCTGAAATTCCACCTGAGATCATGGGCACCGTAACATGGCTTTGGCCATCACTCCATGTGTCTTTTTATAGATCTCTTTGTAATTTAATATGATTGGAATTTTATCATTTGTGCTGTTTCCATGGTGATTAACATCATAGTGTAATGCAGTCTTTTTTGTTTGTTTTTGCTCATCTACCCGTCATAAATATAACTCTATTGACATCTTTCCGTAGCTTTCCCTCTACCTATATAATCATATACACATATATTGTATATATATCTACATACTGACACTTTTCTGTTATTTTAGAAAAAAACAGAATCATATTACAGCATTTTGCTTTTTCACTGTTGAAATCTATCCAAGTTAACTTATTTCCACATGCAGTTATCTTTCAGTTTTGTGGACAACTTGACATTGATTAAACCATTTCCACATAGAAAGGTATTTTTTTCAGTATTTCTTTTTTGACCACTAAACTCATAAAGTAATTAATATTGCAATGGAGATGAGGAGCAAATAATTAAAAACATTTTTGTTGATAATATGATTGCATGCCTAAAAGCTACAAAAGATTCCAGTAAAAAGCTCACAAAATTACTAACAGTATTTGACAAAGTGACTGGGTACAAGGTAGGTATACAAAACTAATAGCATCTTTGCTAGACATAAATGGAGAAAAATAATCAATTCATAGTAAAAACTAAATGAAATAGATTTCTTAGGAATACATTTAACAATAAAAAGCATTTAACCTATCATAAGAAAACTATTAGATCTCAAAGAACATAAAATAGAACAATAAAAATGAAACATTGCATGTTTTTGGATGTAAGACTATCATAAAAATATTATTTTCCCCTAATTAATATAAAATGTGTACATATACTTAACTCAGTTCCAATTAAAATTCCAATTTTGTGGTTATTCTTTTGAAACAAGATAAAATGATCTTTCAGAAAGGATAAAATAGTCTGATAGTGTTCAAAAAATGTATAAAGCAGATGAATGGGAGAGAACCTGCTTAGCAGATGCTGAAAATGCATTATGAAGTCACTGTGCAGAAAGTAGGATGATACTCTCATAATTTTCCTTAATCTCTTCATTATTCCTACACATTATATATAAAACAAACAGAAGGACGCCCTGAAAGTTGGAGAAAGGAAGGCAGATGGGCTAAAGATCTCAGGACCCAAAGAATAGCATGGTGGCGAGTTTCCTGGGTTTTCTTTTTGCCTCCTATACACCAGACTTGGAGCTAAAGAAGACTTTCACACTGTCAGGCTGAGCGGAGGTGCCCCTAACACCATCCCTGCCACACACACCCTCATGATTATTAGAAAAGGCTGCGGAGGGAGCCAGGACACTCATCTCTGCTGGGCAGTAATAACCGCCCTAACCTCCACCCACTATGGTGCACATGTGGATAACCTGGACTTATTCCCAACTCGCAGTAAAGAAGTGTTCCTCCCACTTTCTGCTGGAAGCCTAGGGGAGAGTCAAGACTGTTACCACTCCTAGGTGTCATTGAGGCCACCCCACTATGGTGTCAGTGGAGGCCATGTAGAGGGATTAAGGAGGCACTCTTATCCCTCCCAGTAAAAGTGCTTTGACCCAAGGCCCAGTAAGGGGCCATTTTAGAACCCCTGCCTCATGCAACAGGAACACAGAGACCCCTGGCACACTCACACACTCTGGGGTTTACAGAGTCTGAGTGGGAACCTGGACTTCCACTCCAACTTGGTAGCAGCTACACCATGCACCCCCTTCCCTTGCCAGAGCAGTATCAGAAAAAGCCAACTAAAAACAGAAGGTTTAGACAAGACCTAGCATCTTATAACCTAATACCCCAAATGTCCAGTTCTTAAGAAAAAATTACCGAGCCAGAAAAATTCCACTTGAATAGAAATAGGCAATCCATAGATGCCAACACCAAGATGGCAGAGGTATTAGAATTACCTGACAAAGACTGTAAAATAGCCATCATAAAAATGCTTCAGTGGGCAGTTATGAAAAAACTTGAAAAGAAAAGCCAGAAAGTTTCGGCAAATACAGAGAAGATATATAAAGAATCACCAAGTGGAAATTTTAGGACAGAAAAATATAATAACTAAAATAAAAAACATAATGGATGGTCTGGAGAGCAGAATGGAAGGAACAGATGAAGGAATGAATGAAGTGTGTAAAACACTAGAAAGTACCCAATCTGAACAATAGGGAAAAAATAGAAAAAACAAAAGGGGGAAGGAGGAACAGAGCCTCAGAGACCTGTGAGACTATAAAAAAAGATCTAATTTTCACATGATAATAGTTCCAGAAGAAGAGAGAAAGAGTCCAGGGCTGAAAAAGAACTTGAAAATATAATGGCTGAAAAATTCTTAAATTTGACTGAAGACATAAATCTACAGGCTTTAGCTGAGCAAATAGGATAAACAAAAAATCCACATCAAGATAAATTATACCAAATATCTTAAAACTAAAGACAAGGGGAAACAAATCTTGAAAACAGCAGGAGATAAAATATCTATAAGGGAAAAATAATTTGAGTAGAATGGATTTGTCATCAGAAAGCATGCAGGTCAGACAGAAGTGGCAGAACATTTTTCAAGTGCAGAAAAAAAGAACAATTAACCCAGATTCCTGCAAACATTGAAAATATTCTCCTGAAATGAAGGGGAAATAAGAACATTCTTATATGAAGGAAAACTAAGAGAATTTGTTCCCAGCAGACCTACCCAGAAGAATGACTAAACAAAGTTCTTTAAGCAGAAGAAATGATAAAAGAAAGAATATTGAAAGATCAACAAAGAAGACAGAACATTATAAACAAAATATGGGTAAATATAATCAACTTTCCTTCCCTCTTGAGTTTTCTAAATTATGTTTGACAGTGGAAGCAAAAATTATTACACTTTCTAATGTGGCTCTAAATGTATGCACGTGACATATCTAAGACAATTATATTCTAAACAGAGGCAAATAAAAAGACATAAGGTAGGTAAAATTTCTAGACTTTAGTCACATTGGTGAAAGGATGAAACAAGTAGACTATAATGTTTCGTACATAAGGTAATATGGAGAGTAGTCACTAAAAAAGCTGTTCAAGATGTGTACTCAAAAGCACAATAAATAAAAATGGAATGCTAAAAAATGTTAATACAATTCACAAGTCAAATAGCACACGAAAAGATGTCCAACATCATTATTAGAGAAATGAAAATTAAAATCACAACAAAATGTCATTGCATAATATTATAATGGCTAAAATAAAGAACAGTAATGCCGGGCACAGTGGCTCACGCCTGTAATCCCAGCACCTCAGGAGGCCATGGCGGGTGGATCTCCTGAGGTTGGGAGTTCGAGACCAGCCTGACCAACATGGAGAAATACCGCCCCTACTAAAAATACAAAATTAGCTGGGCATGGTTGTGCATGCCTGTAATCCCAGCTACTCGGGAGGCTGAGGCAGGAGAACTGCTTGAACCTGGGAGACAGAGGTTGTGCTGAGCTGAGATCGCGCCATTGCACTATTGCACTCCAGCCTGGGCAACAAGAGAGAAATTCTGTCTCAAAAAAAAAAAAAAAAAAAAAGAACAGTGACAACACCAACTACCGGCAAGGATGCAGAGAAACTGGACCTCTCGTGGTGGGAATGTAAAATGGTACACCCACTCTGGAACAAGGTTTGGCAGTTAAAAAAAAAGAAAAAAGAAAAACAAAAAAACTAAAGCTGTGACTACTAAACAACTCAGCAATCACAGTCTTGGGCATTTTCTCTGGTGAAATAAAAACTTACAATCGCACAAAATCCTGAACATGAATATTTATGGAGGCTTTATGCGTGATAGCCAAAATCTGGAAACAACTGATTCCTTTAGAGAGTGAATTGTTAAATTGTGGTACATCCTCACCTTACAATGCTACTCAGCAATAAAAAGGAATGCACCATTGATATACACAAGAACCTGGATGAATCTCCAGACAATTATGCCGAGTGAAAAAAGCCAATCCCAAAAGGGTACATACTGTATGGTATGTACCACTTATGGAATCTTCTTGAAACACCACAATTATAGAAATGGAGAACAGATTAGTGATGACCAGTGATTAAGGAGGCAGTGGGGGAAGGTGAGGAGGGGAGGGAAGTGAGTATGGCTGTAAAAGAACAGGAGGGATTCTTGTGATGGAAATGTCATATCTTGACTATATCAGTGTCAGTTATCCTGATTGTGACATTGTACTCTAATGTTGCAAGATGTTACAAATTGGAAGAAACTGCCTGAAGCATACAGGGACTGTCTCTGTATTTCTCACAACTGCTTATGAATCTATCATTATTTCAAAATAAAAACTGTAATAAAAAAACTTAAAAGGAAAGTCTTCCCCTTTGAAAGTCCTTGACTTCTGGAATGGACAAAGTCCTATAAGACGATGACCACCAAGGGGCTTGAATGCAGAAGAGAGTCATTTCCCAACAAAGTGGGTGCTGCAAAGAAAATGAAATGCCCAACAGTGCGTCTCTTTCCTAGTACTCTCTTCTTCACATTCCCACCATCCCTGGTACAGTCAAACCATTTTTAATATTGCCCACATGATAGGAAATCCATGGTGCCATGCTGTTGTTTGAACTTGCATTTTCCCTATCTTTGGTAAATTTGACTTTTTAAAAAAAGTACATTAGCTATTTGTATTTCTTTTGCTTGAATAACCTGTTCATCTTTTATCTTTTATTTCTGTTGATATCTATTTTGTACTTATTTATAAAAACACATTAGATATTAGGGTTATTAATCCTATGTCTAGTATTTTGATGGCAAATATTTTCTTTTAAATGTTTAACTTTGTTTTTAGTAATTTTTGCCATTCAATGGTTCAAATCATATATATTCAAATCTGTATATTTTTTTCTTACAGCTTTTGAGTTCTGTTCTTATATGAGAATACCTTGCCTATCACCAAACTGTTAAAATATTTTAGTTTTTTTATTATTGACTATATTTTTTATTTAGTCCTTTTATTCTTTATATATAATTAAGTAATCTGAGGTTGAAGTATGCCTTTATTTTAACCTTCCAAAAATGTCTAATGCCATTTATTTTAGAATACTTCATCATTTAGCCACTGATTTTAAATGCCATCTTTTCCCAAATCAATGTTATCTTAATAGCTTCGTTGCCTAATGCACACAGCAAGTCAATATCCTGAGACACTGGGTTGCAGCAGAGAAGGAGGTTTCATTGTAAGGCCACTGAATGAGGAGACTGGAAGAAACCTCAACTTCATCTCCTTAAGGAGTTCGGGGCTAGAGTTTTTAAGGGGTTTGGAGTGGGCCCAAGTGTGATCATTTGTTGGTGAAAGAGCGCAAGATAGTGTCATGAGGGAGGAAGATGAAAAAACTCTTCTCATGCTGATTCAGTTTCTCTATGGGGGTCTTCAAAATGGTTGGTGTCAACTGTTCCACTGGATTTCAGGATCTGAGAAACATCTTAAGCAATTATTAAATGAAAGCCTTATGAGTCTAATGTCAGACATCTTATCTATAAGAACAATAGGAATGCAGATTAATTCTTAAAGAAAAGCCTTATAATTCTAACAACAGAAATCTATCTACAGGAACGATGGTAATGCAAATGGTCAGTATCTGGTCCTAAGGGACTTTCGGTTGAAAGGAAGTGGGCCAAAGTGTAGCCTGATGAATGCTTAATTATATTTCTGTCCAGAATTATTCTTAATCCTGTGAGGACCGCTTCGCTGATATCTCATGTATCTATCTAGGAGTCTCTGGACTCCCTTCCATTCCATTGATTTATCTTTCTGTTCCTAGGCTAGTACAAACTGTTCATTTCTTGTAGCTTTAGGGGTCATTATGATTCCCGGGAGGGCAACAGTGGAACTCATTCTGCATTCATCTGTCTTCAAGGTGTTTGTTTCAGCTTTTGCTTTTCCCTGTGTTGCTAAATCTGCATTTCCAAACACTCCGCTCCCTTTAGTGTAGCTCAAATGTTGCCTTCTTGAGGGAACATCTCAGGGCCTAGAATTTAGTGTAAGGTACTCTGGGTGTGGATTCTTGCTTGGACATTTCCTTCCTGTTTGTGTTGAGAAACTCACTCCACCTCATGGTGTTTTCGTTTTTGTTACGTTTACCTTCATGACATGAAACATAAAGGAAAACATAAAAACACTTAAGGCTGCAGGCAGTGGCTCACACCTATAATCCCAGCACTTTGGGAGGCCAAGGCGGGCGGATCATCTGAGGTCAGAAGTTTGAGACCAGCCTGGCCAACATGGCAAAACCCCATCTCTACTAAAAATACAAAAATTAGCCCAGCATGGTGGCATGTGCCTCCCAAAATTAGCTACTTGGGAGGCTGAGGCAGGAGAATCGCTTGAACCTGGGAGGTGGAGGTTGTAGTGAGCCAAGATCATGCTACCTCACTCCAGCCTGGGTGACATAGACTCTATCTCAAAAAATAAAATAAAAGCACTTAAATAACACACATTGGTCATGAAAATTAAGAGAATGCATTTAAAGTGCTTAGCACAATGCATGGCCTGTGATAAGCACTCAATAAATATTGACTCCTAGTAATGGTACTTCTACTGTTACATGTAATAGTATTTTTCCTTTGTTATTATTAATCTCTTCTTACTTCTGTTCCCATAGTTCTTAATGCTTCTATTTGTACACTATTAATATTCCACCCTGAGGTATTTTTGAACACGTCTTTCTCTCACTATATACCTTGAGCCTTGTTTTTTGCCTAAAGACAAATCTCGTTATGTTCTTTAGTAACTAATCAAAATAAAAGCTTAATAAGTGATAAATTAAACAAATTGATAGTATGGCTATAAATTTCCTTACATGGCTAAGGTGTAAAATATATTTTTTAAGTTTTTTTTTTCTACTCTCTACACCACACAATATTCAACACAGAATACTTTACTTCTGGTCACCAAAACATGTGTGGGTTTTTCTCCAAACACCAAGTGATACTCCAGTTGGACACCAGCCAGGTATGCTGTAATTCAATTTACTTCTGACACTTTCTACCTAAAGATAGAGTCAGACCCCACAGGTTAAGAGCTCAGTCCCAAACATTGCCCCCATTTCAGATGCCAGTCTTAGATCTGGATCTCCAGAACTTCTAATCAACTGGCTGTGAATTGGGGATTCCCATGACACCTTCCTCAGGTTTGACTAATTTGCTAGATCAGCTCACAGTAATCAGGGAAACACATTACTTATGTTTACTCATTTATTATAAAAGACACTATGAACAATACAGATGAACAGCCAGATGGAAGAGAAGCAAAGGGCAAGGCATGTGGGAAGGGGGCAGGGCTTCCACACCCCATCTGGGTGTGCCACCCTTTAGGAGGGATTACCATGTGTTCAGCACTTCCAAAGCTCTCTGAACCTCATCCTTCTGGGTTTTTATGGAGGCCTCCTTACATAGGCATGATTGATTATATCATTGGTCATTGTTGATCAACTCAACCTTCAGCCCCTCTCCCCTCCTTTGGAGGTCAGGGACTCAGGTTGAAATTTCCAACCCTCTAACCACATGGTTGGTTCTGTTGGCAACCAGCCCCCATCCTGAGGCTCTCCAGGAGCTCATCCAGCATTGCCTGTTTAGAACAAAAGATGCTCTTGTCACACAGGAAATTCCAAGGGATTTAGAAGCTCTGTGCCAAATGATCCTATTATTCAGGAAATTGCAAAGATCTTAGGAGCTCTGTATCAGGAGCTGGGGTCAAAGATCACATATCAGAACAACAGATTCTCCTAGTACCTACTACCTATAAAGATTTGAGGAGCTTTATTGTATACAGAGGGAGGTGGTGGTATTAGAACTGTGTCCTCTGGAAGAAGCTCTGGCACTTCACAGGAGTATCTGCCTCAGAAGAAGAAGACCTCAGCATTGTCCACTAACTTGTTGTCCCAAATCTGCCAACATAAAGGGGAATTTCTGCCTGCAGAAGAAGCTAGGGTCTTGGGAGGCCAAACAGGAGCTGAGCTCTGTCCTGGGAAGTACCAAGGCAGGACTTGTCCTCAGGTCATCCCTGAATCTAGAGCCCATGAGGCCTTGACTCAAGGAAGTAAACAGAAGAAAAAGCAAGAACATTAGGAAATGAGAAAAGGAGGAAGAGGAAAGGAGATAAACGAATGAAGTAAAATGAGAGGCTAAGAGGAAAGGACAAAGAGGAAGGCAGTGAAGGGGACCAGGAAGGAAGTGGAGTCACGCACTGGGATCCTCTCAGCCAAGACCATTCTCAAAGGCCCAAAATACCCTCTGTACCTTGCCTCTGATAAGCTGCACTTACCAGAGTACACACAACGAGGTCTGCTGTCCTGCCTTGTGTCATGGTTACCCTTTTGAATTTTCCCTTCATTTATCAAAAGCCCAGATACCAGCAAAAAATAATTGCTTCTCAGTTACCATACTGGTCCATGTATGGCTCAAGACAAAAATCATCTTTCATCTTTTTTTTCTTTCCTCATTTCCACTAGTATTTTCTGAGTAGCTCTTAAGACTTGAGGTGGAGCTGGGATCTTCTCGCTGATGAAAAAGCCCTTTAGGAACTTCCAGACTGAGCAAGGGGAAAGTGGCCAGGAGGTATTAGGGATATTATTAAAACAAAGACAAGAGTCCAATTGTCTTATATTTTAAAAGAGATTACTAAATACTTCAAAATTTAGTATTTAGATTACTAAATACTTTTAAAATTACTACATATTTTAGTGGAATGTTGTATCATTAATAAAGTCAATAGATAAAATGTTGGGAAAATATTTACAACACAGATATATGATAAAGGGGTAATATCCATAATATGTCAGATAAAAGGTATGAAGAAATTCATAGAAGATAAAAATTAAACAGTCAATAAACATGTGACGATACTTGACTTACTAGGAAAAAAGGAAATGCAAGTTAAAATAACAGTATCTCTCTATGTTCATCTGGGATGGAACAATCACAGACCAAGTTTAGCTGAACTTGAGTTTCTTTGTCAGGAAACCTGTTCTTAAGGCTCTATGGAATTCTGATCTATTGACTTTCAGCCAGTCTATGAAGCAGCAGCCTCAGCTAGAGAGCGTGACAAGTAATATCCTTCAGCTGAGATGGGTCTGCGGCAATTAGCCTCTTGGTGTTAGATGTTGGTTCTCGGTCCATCCCTCTCCATCATAGTACTCGTGTTCCACCTCACACTCTGCCTCAGGAACGTTCGAAGCACAAGCCAAGGAAGGGAAGGCACCTCCCATTTCCTCCATGTCAGAAAGCAGTGTTGCAGGGTGTCTTCAGTGTGCCAGGCAGAGAAAACAGAATCGGAGGCAGTTTTAAGAGACCTGTCTGGAGTTGTATTTTTTTGGATGTAGAGGAGGCAATCAGGATCATCCTGCACCCCAATATTATCCTCTTTCTTACATCAAGTCTGGCCTGTTTGTAACTTGAGCTCCGTTCTTTCAGTGTTGCAACGTGGTGGGTTATTTCACACCCAGTTGATTTGTACTGCAGGCATCATGCTGAAAGAGCCTCTGTTAGTTCTTCCTGTCTGGGGCCTCTCTGTTACTCCTCAGGCCAAATCCAGAGTAAACCTCTTTTTCTTGTAGGGCTGAGAAAAAGCAGGTCTCCAAAGCCGGTCTCATGGAGTTGGTCTCCAAATTGATCTTTCAGTGAGCCATACCTCCTGGTATTCTTGCCCTATGTAGTCCTCCGAGGCTGAGTTATAAGAAGTCTTTCAGCTTACACTTGGGCCTCTTGAAATGTTAGGCATACTCATTCTTAAAACTCTGCTGTCATGCTTTGGAGATATTATGGGAAGGCACTCTGGTCAACAGCCTAGCAGAGCTCCCAGAAAACAACCAGCATCAACTTCCAACCCTGTGAATGAGCTGTCTGGATGTACAACCCAGCTGAGCTATCTCATGCCGGCAGATTCAGCCATCACTGGACAGCAACATGACAGACCCCAAGCAAGAACCACCAAAGTGAGCCCAAAGAACCACAGAATCATGAAAAATTGAAATAAATATGTGTTTTAAGCCACTGAGTTTTGGAGTGGCTTGTTACATATCATTAGACCATTGAACAAGCCTTATTAAAGGCTTTGAGAAGTACCCAAATTCAACACCATAAAGTTTTCCAGGACCCCTAATGCTACAACCTTAAAAGATGAGTGGTATGAATGTCAAAACCAACATGAGACAATTCAACAAGTTAGTGCATGACAACATAGCAAGGTATGCTAATCCCACTCCCTGAAATTGAGGGTTTTCTCTCATTCCCCTTGTCTATACATGAGTGCAGTCAACTCCATGGCACTGTCTCTTTCAACTTTTATTTCCTGGTATCAAATTGTACATTTGTTGTTTAATTGTTTTCAATTGAAAGAGAGAGAAAGCCCATCTCAAAATGGCTTAGGCAACAGAGAAAATCTATTGATTCACATAACTTCAAAGGGCAGACTTAGCTATTTCTGGCTCCAGGAAGAATTCAGTACTGGATTCATAAGATATCACCTCTGCTTCCTCTGGACCCATTTCTTCCTGAGGTCCTCACAGTAGCCCCTCAGAAGCTTCAGACTTCACTTTATGTCTTCAGCAGTTACAAGCTTCCCATAGCAGAATGGTTATAGCTAGATTTACATCCTAGCCCCATTGCTTAGTAGCCATGTGGCCTTGATCAAGTACATAACTACTCTAGTTTTAATTCCCTCTTCTTTAAAATGGGGACAATGATATCATCTATTCCATGGGGTTGTTGTGAGTTTAAGTGAGAAAATACATGTAAAGCATTTGGAACTGTCTCCATCATAAAGTAAGAGACCTGCAAGTGTTAGTGTTTGTAGTAATAATAATAATAATAGTAGCAGCAGCAACAGCAGCAGTCATGTAGTAGCAATAGTAATATTCTCCACTATTTAAGCACAGCAGAGGAAAAGAAATCTATGTTCCAACTTTCCCAAAAGTTCCTCAGCTCCTTTCAGTTTCCCCGAACGCATTACAGGGCCTCCAAGGTGGAATATGCTGATTGGCTCAAAGTGCCTGGAGTCTGCACCTAAAACCAGGATGGGTCAGTCCTACAAGATTGGGAAATGTGGAGCTCTATCAGGAAGGGGAAAAAGGGAAATAAATTTCGGGCAGGCAATTAACATCTATTTCTCAGTAGAGAAACTCATAGTGCTCAGACCTCACTGCCATACTGTTGTGCCCATCTTGGAGACAGACATGTCCTCATCTTCCCCACAAAGTCCATTCAAGAAAAGACAATTTTTATTGGCCTTACTTGGAACAGGAGACTTTCTCATACCCTTCTGAGGATCTCTCTGTGATCACCCTGTGCTCTTAGCAAAGATGGACCATCTGTGTGCAGCAGGGGAGCCCCTTGCTTCTGCTTCCTTTCACTGACTCCCCCTGACATCAGAACCTTTACACAACACTGTGTTAGCTGATGGGGGGCTCTGCATCCTGAGGTCCCCGCTAGGACCGTACACACCACTTGGGTAGGACTTTCCTCCTGCAGAGTGAAAGGAGCATGCCTAACTGCTAAATTCTCCTGGCACCAAACCCAGAGTCTTTCTGACTCCAGGTTGTGATTCTGATTGTGAGTTCAGGTAGATTTGTATTTTCCAGAGCAAAACTGGTTCACACAATCTGTAGCCCATAAACCTTTCCCTATGGTGCGAGGAGAAAACCCCACACTACAAATGATATGTGTTGTTTCTTGGTCTCAATAAAACATTTGTCTCTCTTGTACATAATTAATTGTTAATTGAAAGTATGATGAATTGTGGCTGCTTGTAATTAATTAGTAGGAGACTACAGTGAAATATGACTCTGAGTTCTTCTCCAGACTTATTTTGTTTTAGAAAGCAGAGGAAGAATTGGATCCTGTGCAAATTCTTCCGTGGCCTGCTGTGTTTTAAACCTTACAGATTGGTAGGGTGGGACAAGGTAGGGGGAAAGGCATGGATGGTAGCATAATGTAAGCATGGACTCACTGGGGACAGCATCTGGTGTTTGTGTTATCCATCTCTTGCTGCAGAAGGGCAAGTGGCTCCTCAATTCTGAAGGATGAAGCCATGGTGTGGCAGCCAGTGCAGGCCCTGGGAAGGGGCAGAGAACTTACCTCGGACCCTAGACGGGAGTCTTCAACTGGGATACTTTCAAGCTAGAGAAAGAGGTGTCCTATAAAGGCAGAATAAATCTGACCTTTTGTGACTATCAGGCTGGAATGAGAGGGTAGTATATGAATTAGCTAAAGCAGCTCTACATTGGTCCAGACAGACTGCAGAGATTTGAACAAATGTCCCTAAAGACAAACTCCCCAGTGTGTGCGATTGATGCGTAAGGTCCTGTGAGGTTATTATATAACATACTGCAAATGGCCCTCAGAGGGATGATCAACTCAGTATTCTTAGGACATCCTGACCCAATAGCTACCTGCTTCTGCTTAGACAGCATCCAGTGGCAAAGGTCTGACTCCCTCCTCTAGAATCCTAGTTTATCCTCAGAACTTCCAAACAGGGAACAGTGTCAAGGAGCAGCCAAAGAACTACTTTTCATCGTATTTTATCAATCACAGTGTAATTAAAATTTCCTTTTATCTTTCAAGCTATCAATACCTTTTTATCTCCCCATGTTGCCTGTCTATTGATTATGTCTTTAATTTATGAAGCTTCCTTATGGTCAGTTCCGTTCATGAGTCCCCTTCTCTCCAGGCTCCCCCTCCATTCTCACACCATTCCCCCTCTCTATCCTGAGGCCCCTTCCAGTCCTCCCACCCGCTTTCCATTAATGCAAGCTCCTCCCCACCCACACCTAGCACTCCCTCCTCTCTCCACCACCCCATGTCCTTCTTATCCTCACAGTCCATGTCCCATCTTCTCTTCACCTTCTACCCACAGGGCTGTGATAGCCTTTCCCAACCTTACATGGGCATCTGAGCATTGAGGGGAAAAGCCTGAATGACACCTGCTTTGCCAGACCCCATCTCTCCATTTAGGGGGCAGATAAAGATGCATGTCATGTCACCCTTCAGTATCATTACAGTCCTCAGAATGGCCCTAGATGATGGAGAATGCACTACATGATCCTTACTGGTGAAGAATGGCCCTAACAATCCTTCATTTTGTCTTGTTTTTGAGAGGATCTCACTCTACCTTTACTATCTTCCTAAGCATAGCAACATTTCAATCGCTAATAATCACAGTTCACATAAACTGCAAGAATTATGATATTTCCACCATGACAAAGTCAGGCATGCTTTCTCTCCAGCAAAGCAGGAGAAAGAGTAGGAGCAAAAAGCATTTGAGGCATGTGGTTTAAAATAAGGAGAAATGATAAACAGCCTTGAAGACAGATGAGAGCATGGGGAAAACATGAAAATACAGTCATCTAAATAAAGTCACATACACCAATGCTAGACTCTGGGAATAATAGATTCTAACTTTGACGTAGAGAAAACTGACTTGAGAAAATCCTACTAAGGCTTCTGTCAAAGGAAAACCCCACTTTAACTGTATGAAAAATAGACCAACTTCAAAACCGTAGGGGAAAAAAATGAGTGCCTTCTTAACCATTTGCTGCTTGATTCAGACATGAGTCCAACTAGAAATCTGGGATACAGTCCAACCCTTAGTACAGAAAATGGTGCTTTGTAATATAGGCTGAACACAGATTCAATTTTC
The DNA here is from genome assembly GCF_000001405.40 of Homo sapiens. Taxonomy (NCBI): domain Eukaryota; kingdom Metazoa; phylum Chordata; class Mammalia; order Primates; family Hominidae; genus Homo; species Homo sapiens. Next base: position 84,951,561 of record NC_000010.11, on the reverse strand, counting down.
CTTCATCCAGACAGGTATTTTTAACATATGGGTAAAAAATGCAAATTCCAAAAAAATATTGAAGCAAAATTGTGGGGTAAAGGAAACTGACGTTGCTGGTGCATTCTGGGAACTATAGTGCCTATAAATGAAGTGTTGTAAATAAAGGCTAAGATTCAAATGATATTATTATCAAAGTAGTATCCAACTACAATTTCTGGAATTGTAGTTTTTATTACCTCATTGAACAATGTTCTGGGAGTTGGAGAAAGGAATTCACTCAGTAGAGAAAAGAAATGCCAGATGAAAATATTCACACTGGCTCCTCAATCTTGTTCTAGCCCTATATCTAAATAGGGGATTCAGGAATCCACTCACCCTCGAAGTGCAATCAACTTGGCTAGCCAGCATACCGCTCTGTTCTACAAAGCTTTCTACTAATAAATGTCACTTGAGAGATACTCAGAAGCTGATGAATTACATGGAATTGTTGTAATTTCAGGATTTACGACTACCCGTCTTCTCTCAGACTCTGCTCCTGGGATGTAACATTCATTGCTTGCTATGTCTATACCTCACTACATGCAATGCACCTTTAGAAGACTGTCTCCTTACTCCATAATGGAATTTGTCTCTGACCTATTGCAGCTATGAGATGTGAGTTGTTGGGCACACTGAGGGGAATGACATAGTTGCCATATCAAAGATTATCTCCTACTGTGTAAACTACAGAAGAGAAAAAGTATTAGAACAAAAATGCACCCACTCAGTCTGGGCATAGTTTCTAAAAGGAATACTGTTGGATGCAGGGTCTCACATTGTCTTCTCTGGTCTCAGCCCCAATAGAACTTGTGTCAGTGAGGAAGATAGATTAAAATAACCTGAAATAAGAAAATAAATAGGAAAGTTATAATTGAAGGACTATTATATAAAAGGGCTTTGCTGTTGAGATTCTCATTAAGGTCTGTAACCCTGTTCCAGAAGCATTACCTGCCCCAGAGGCTACCTGCCACTCAGTGAAGATCATATGCCTAAGTCATGACATCAACATCAAACTCTCTTCAAATCTGGGAGAAAGGCTCAGCTCTTACAACCAGGACAAGAAGAAATGACACCAGTAGAGAGATCATTTGGTGAGCAGCAGGGTTGAAAGAGCCTCAAACCATGGAGAGAGAGCCTGGATCTCGAGTAGAAAGGCTTCTGGCACTGAAGAAGTCAAACAGGATCCCTGAGAGGGAAAAAGCCAGGAGCTTGGGGAATTATCTTCACCAAGGTATTTAGAATCAGTCTACCCCTTTACACTTACTCCCATAATGGCACACCCATAGGAGCTTGAATTGCAGTGAGAAGGGGTTTCTTTCTTCTGGAAATGAATAAAATGTGCTCCAGGGCCTAGGCTCCTTAGAGGTAGAAATCAATTTTGATCTTTTGGCCAGAGTCCTGAGACCCAGACTCTATCTCATTGGACAGGCAAGACAGTAGGAATGCCAGAAATACAGAAGGGTTCAGCCTCAAATTGCTGCACCTTGGAACCCCAGCCTCACTTGACTCTTCTGATCTATCCCTGCCCCTTAAAACCCTCTGTTTTGATGCCTCATCACAGGGATTTTCAGAACTGTCGCTAGTATAATGGAGGCTAATTTGATGCAGTGATTCTCAATCCTGACTGCGTATTAGAATTACCTGAGGAGCTATTTAAAAATTATTCAGATCAATTAAATCAGAGTCTCTGAGGTTGGGATCCAGGCATCGTACTTTCATAAAGCTCCCTAGGTGGTCCTACTGTGCAGCTGGCATGGAGGAACCCTTACCTAGTATTACCCTCTCCCAGTCTGCCTCACATGGTCTCCTAGTCTACACCATCCCAGTTTTTCTTAGAGTCACTTTCACCTAACAAAATGCCCATGAGAGTAATTTCTGGAGTTTGAATGCTAAGAGTTATTTAACCTATAGGCCCATATTATTCTCTCGCTTATAATACCGTGGTACTGTCCCACATTATTGCTTCATGTTATTACTGTAGTTTAATACAGTATACTTCATCTTTCTGTGCCTTGATGAATTCAGCCAAAAAGCACAGCATGAATGAAAAAAAAAAAAACAGCTGTTCTTTCTGTTGTGCCTCAATTTTCTTGGGAGAGCAACTAAACTCAGAGCCACTAAAAAAAATATGGAAGGAAAAAAACTCAGGCAATCTGAGTGAATTGGAGATATGACAAAATTAATTAAGGTTGTGTAGGTTGTAATTTACCAACCTGTCAAAAATTCCTTAAAGGATAATTTAAACTGTAGTTAGCAGGACCTGTAACTAAGTACTAGAAAGTCTGCTCTTTTTTTCTGCCTTTTAAATATCTTAATCTGTTGCATACTACAGTCTCTTTATTTGCTGCAGGTTTTTTTTTTTACAGGAATATTCAAGTCACATGTAGTAAAATCAAAATACCTCAGAGACTTCAGTTTGCTTTCTCTACTTCTCCAGGTCTGTCTAGAGATGTGGTTGGCAGATTTATGACCCCCAAAGATGTCTACATCCTAAACCCAGGAATCTGTGAGTATGTTACCTTACATGCAAAAGGGACTTTGCAGAAGAGATTAATACCTTGAGATGGGAATATTATTCTGGATTATCTGGGTGGGTCAGATTTAATCTTACAATTCCTTTAAAGTGAAAGACAAGGAAGAGGCAGGGTGAATCTGAGCAATGTGAGAAGAACGTGCTGACTTTGAAGAATGAGGAAGTAGATCATGAGCCAAAGACTGCAGTAGCCTCTAGAACCTGGGGACTGCCAGCAGCTTACAGCCAGCGAGAACACAGGGACCCAGGGCTGCAACAGCAAAGAATGGAATTCTGTCAATAACCAAATGGGCAAGGAAACAGACTCTTTCTTAGAGTATCCCAAAATAAAGGCAGCCCCATGCACACCTTTATTTTAGCTCAGGAATACCTGTGTCAGATTTCTGACCTACAGAACTGTAAGACACTAAGTTTGTGTTGTATTAGCAGCTGAAATTGTTGCATTTTGTTACAGTAGCAATGGAAAACTAATACAAGAGGGTAAGCTAAGTTGGTTTGCAAATTTGTAGATGCACTGACTGAATGCCAGCAATTGATACACCAAAGTTAATAAAATTCTGGGACTTTTATCAAAACCAAGGCAAAGAGGATAGCATGAGCTACAAATGCTAATTGGGTGGTAAAACATCCTTAACTTTACCTTCAGTCTTATTTGTCTTTACTGAAACATAGTAAGGGAAGATGGGCAGGTCTGTGCAAGGACAGTGGCCCAGTCACTTAGGAGAGACAGTTAGTGCTTACATACCTGTGGGACCTGCATAGGGTCTCACTCAGAGTTTGAAGCAAATATCAGAAAATGTCATCCTTAAAATTTAAGAAAGAGAAGAGAATTAATTATCACATTTATTCCACAAAGGTGCAGATACTGTACAAGGTGGCTTATGAATATCATCTTATTTAATCTTCACAGCAATACCAGAAAACCAGGACTACTTTGTCCATTCTATCTACTGCAGAGAAAATGAGACTCGGGAAGATCCAGTAACTTCCCAGAGGCTACAGGGAAAATAAGATCTGCCTGATTTCAAAGTGGTCAAGGGTGAAATTAATGGATTTAACAAACAAAGCAAACAAACAAATTTTCCTTAAAAGGCATCCAAAAATCTTTATCCTGAATTTATGAGCACCAAACACCTTTCCAGGATGTAATTTTACCTGCTTTAGGAAACTGATGTCCTGCCAGGTTTACTGCTGCCGTAAGTGAATAACACTATTTAGTGGTACCTAATGCATGCCAAGCAGAGATTTGTGTTTGACCTATTATTCCCCATTCTCACAATAATTATATTAGGTAGGTAATCTCTCCATTTTCCAAATGAGGAAACTAAAATTCATAAAGAATAAAGCCTTTCCCAAAGTTAATAAACTAATAAATGGCAATGCCAACATTTCAATTCTTGACTGTCTGATGCAAACATATGTTACCTCCAGAGTTGGGGACCTATGAGTCTGGCTAGTGTGAACTTCCTCTATACAACCTCTGAACTCTGGAAGGACTGACAGATTCAACTGACAAATTCAACATCTGTCACTCACATCTGCTGTGATGACCACACACCAAGGTTCATTCAACCATTCTGTAAAGTCCTATTGGAAAGAATCAGGCAATCAAGATTCCTATCACCTCACCTTCCACAAGATGGGGGGAAAAGTTGTGTCCTTGAGATTTCTATGGAGAGCTGTGGAGAGAAAAGCAAATAGACCAATCCATTAGGTAATTAAATTAGTCATTTCATTCACCAGACTTAATGGATAGACGGTCCAAACTCAGTTGATGCAAACATTAACACAGTAATCTGAGCTTCCTCGATGCACACAGCAGGTGTTATGTACCATCTTTGAATACAAGGGAAATATTACATGACTACATAAAACATGTAGCATTCTGTTTCCAGAACCAGAGTTCTCTCTGCCAACTACTAAAATCCTGCTAATTGATACACTGTGGTTTTTGGCCAGCCAGGGTCTTATTTCCATAATGTCAGTTGGTGGTTTAGTACATTTTTTTTTATGGTTTGCTTGCACTGCTAACTCTGGGTATAAAGCCAATTCATCCACGAGAACATTCAACATAAATTTTTGACCACCTAGCAGTGGCATTTAAGCCTCTGTGATGATTTCAGACATAGAGGCCAATTATTTTGTGCTAATTATTTTGTGGTATTTGCTTATTACTGTTAAAAAAAATCTGTAGGAATACAGCTGGATTTAACCTCTGAGCAAACTCCTAAGCAATGACCTTTTAATAGAGGAAGAGGGAGGGAGGGAGCTGCTACAGAAGCCAGAGAATAAAGCCCTTTAGAAAGTCAAGTAACAGGATAGGTGATTAGTTATTCACAAGAGTAACATGTTGCCTATGATTCTAGGAATTAAAAATTTCTCAAGGCAGATTTATTTGCCTATTTAAATATGAGCTACCGTAATAGTTCTAATCCCAGAAGCTCATTGTTTATAGTTAAGTATCAAATGGACCTGATAGTCCCATACATGTGAGTATTTTTCTTCAGGTTGCCCAAATGAGGTACCCAGATCCTTTCTTTCTCAAGGACACAGGAGAATCAAATGAATGCAACTATTACCCAGAGTTAATGCTTTTAAATGTTATTCTAAATATAGTAAGATTTATGGAACCAACAAAAGTTTCAGTTTTCTCAAAAATTAATATATATCAGCAAGGCAATCAACAAGATGATATAAGCTCTGTATGTGCAAGTTTATCTATATTGTCAACATGATTTGGAGGGAAAAGTCATATCCAATGAAATTGACATTTTTGGTTGAATTGAGTGCAATCTGCAGTATGTTCACTTTTTTGTATGATAACCTTGGCTTGTTCTAACAGTTTAGAAAATAAATCTTCATTATATCTCCTGAAGATAAGACACCCATCTGTCAGTTCATTACAGTGGTTGTAGAGAAAACATTTGGAAGGGGTGATTTAACAAGAAGTAATTCTTGGCTAGTGGGAACTCCCCAACTGCAGAGAAACAGAATGGATTGCATCTTGGAAAACACCAAAGTTGGAAAGAACTCAAAACCCTGCTAGAGAGGAAACCAACCTGGAAAAGCCTCCTCACACTCAGGATAGCATTGCTAAGGCAGCAGATGCTGGAGAAGAGTGGACAGCTGCCAAGTATGGGGGAACAATAGCCAAGGTTGTAGACATGGCATTCTGGGGTGTGTCGACAACAGTCATCAGTGAATATATGGCAACTGGGAAAGAATGGATAAGCTGGGTGTTGGGAAACAACATCAAGAACTGGAGAGAGTGTTGAAGACTTGTCCTTTCTCAGAACCCAGGTTGCTGGGCACAGGTAAGGACCTAGATTCAGAGTCTCCTGCACCCAGAATAAGAGGAAACCACTAGTAGAATGATTTTACTTGTCTCCCTAGTACCCAGTCTCTCTTCTTCTGATAAAAGCACCCTCACCCCTGCCTCAATATTTTCTTTTGTGAAGTTATCCTTCCCCCTTACTTTTGAACATACACTGGATTAAGCTGATCTCATCTTAGGTCCAAGGATGGGCATATGACTCTAATCCATACAATGAGGATATCAAAGTCCCCATGACATAGTATGTGCATAGATGGTGTGAAAAACCATGACTGGGCCTGGCCATGGAAAGACTTCATGTGTATATAAATAGAAACTCCCTAGGCACTACCGTTTAGTGCAGGAAAGGGGAGGCTAGCTGCTCAGGGCTAGTGTAGCAAAAGTCTTGAGGTCCAGAGAGTATGCTTGGGTCATTGATTGCTAGTTAAAATAATGATTTCCTTGGATCATAGTAGAAATACTTTTCTGGATGTTAAAGAGGCTGGGTGAGTAAAAGGCATGTTATCCTCTGACCCAGGAAATATTTTCTCCATACAGGTTGCTAAGACTGAGTAAAACAAGAAAAGCAATGGGGAACCTCACTCACATCCATGCTTCCTTGTCTCATCTGTATGTATGATTTTTGCACAACTTATTTGATACTTTGGACATAAAGCAAGGTAAAGTACACTCGAATTGAGTCCAAGGTGATATTACTACCAATCCTTTAATCCAAGCTTTATTTAGTGGTTGAACTTAGCAAAATTTACTTGGTAAATTCACATGAAATATCAGAACCAATCGTAGATGCCTCAGGGAGATAGGGTGGAATAATTGAAAGGGAGAGGAAGTATCCCTATTTATGTTATTTTTGTAGCTGTGAAGTTTTAAATCTGTTGAGAAAAATCTTGCTTCCATATTAAGAGATCATGCCTAAAAGTAGAAAAGAAAAAAAGAAAAGCAGAGTGAGAGATGGAGAAAGACCAGGTCCTGGTGAAATCATTTAATCCTTTACCCAAACCTAGCTATATTGGGATTCTTCAGTCATAGAGGCCAAAAATTTATTTTTTGCTTAAGTTAACTTGGGTTTAGATTTTCTTCCAACCAAAAAGAGTCCTAACTTACTGTGATTTGTGGACAGAATTCTGGAGGATTTTTTGAGGATTCCAAGGGTTAAGATTCCCAGTGGTGTCAGTTATTTATCCAGAGTTCCTCAGCTCTGAGACCATCCCTCCTGTGCTTGGTGATTGTAAAGCTCAGAGTCCTCAAACCACATTTCCCAGAATCCCTTGCAACTGTCTTTCTTTCGGTTTTGGCCAATGAGAGGCACTGGCAGGAGATAAGAAGGTTAGTAAAGGGAAGAAGGGACTCTTTCTGCCTACAGATCTGGTGACTAGAGCAGACAGTTGTAGGCCCAACTTCTAGAATCTTTTGGCACTCTCAGCTCCAATCACTATCAGTAGTGCCTTAGGAGCTGCACAGCTTCCCCTTAGTGGCTGGAGCAGTGACACAGGTGCCCCACCATCAGCAGCAGCATGGCAGCCACCTGCATAGCTCAAGTGATGGAGCTGCAGGGGCCCCTCCCCCAAGCTCTAGTGCAGCTCCAGTGTCCTCACTACTTCTCTTTTGTATCGCTATGTTCATGAGATAAATGAATGCTTTTGCATTAAACCATCAAATACTGGGGGCTGGAGAGGAAGCATGTTATACAGCACTCTTGTAATAATTGATAATGGTTACAATCTACATAACAAATTTAAATCCCTATATAAAATGTGGTATTCTGTTTTTCCTTAATGGACACTGATTAATACACCAACTATCCTTGCCAAAAGGAGCACAGTGGGAACTGGAAAGCTTGATGATCTTCAGTGAGGCCATGAATGTTAATATGTACGTGATCCTAGAACCAACCAGCCACTTACTGTATGAGTCACTAGTCCCCCACCCACTAATTTCCTGGGGATAGTCCCCCTAAATGGTATATGGTTGTCTCCAAGGAGGCATACTTATTCTTGATGATGGCAGCATTGTTTACTCCATCCTGTCAACTTAAAATAATCAAAAGAGTCAGAATCTATTATTCAAGTGCAACATTTGAGGATGGCCACCCAGAAAACAAATTCCAGTGAATGGAAGTCAGTGTTCTGAAGTGTAAAAGTTTGTAATTATTTTTATAGACAAAGTTTAGAGAACCTTGACAGAATTTTGACATCTTTCTCTGCAAGGTTTAATGTACAGCTAAAATGATTTCATAGTTAAGGGGTCTTTTTTAGAAGAAAGGTATATTTAATATTCCACACTGAAGACGTAGCAGTCATGAGGTCTTTTTTGCCGTCTGGTCTGACTTAGGTTCAGGACAATAAAGGGGGCAGGTAATCTATAACAAAGATCAGTGATTGGAAGGGGAAGAGGTCTGGTCTCTGGTCTCTCCTAGTCATTTACAGAATGAGAAAAATGAGGAAAAAAGTTAAGCTATAATCTAAGAAGCAGAATTGCAAACATGCTACGTGACCAAGTCTCTAGGGCTTAACTTCCCCCTTGGCATAATAAATTTAAAGCATCCTAAAGTTTTTTACTTTCTTTTACAACTCCCATCCCTAGTAACTAGAAATACCTTTCTTTGACAAATTCTACAAATGTAGAACAAGAAGTGTACAATGTGTAGCTACCGATGTTGTGCAAATTCCAGCTTTACCCACCATTCTAATAATCTACTGCTGAACACAAGCCACCCTACAGTTTAGCGGCATAAAACAGTAAATATTTTATTATGATCTCATATTCCATAGGTCAAAAATTTGGATCAGGTAGAGCAGGGATGGATTATATCCACTCCACAATGACTGCAGCCCCAGATGTGAAAACTTGAATGGGTGGAGTTGATTCAAGTCGTCTCATCTGAAAGTCTCATTCACTTACAGGTCTAGAAGTTTGGCTCAGAGTACCTACATGGGACCTATCCATCACAGCAGCCTAAGTGTAGTTAGCTTTATTCCACAGTAACGGGATTCCAAGGGTGAGTATGCCAGAAAATGAGGCAGAAGCTCATGGCCTTCATAACCTAGCCTCAGAAGTCACATAGCATCTCTTCTGCCAAGTTCTCTTGGTTGAAGCACTCGCAAACCCATCCAGATTCAAGAGGATTGTTCATTTTCATACCTTTGTAAGAAGATTGTCATAGAACATGCAGCCCTGTTTCAACACCACCACACTCACCATTCTCTTGGGGGAAATACTGTGCAAATGAAGTTATCTCTCCTTTCTTAAAAGTCATATTTTTATTGTTTCATCAATACTTTGAGGACTCTGTACTAGCTGTGGCTCCAGGAGTCACTAGGATAACCTAAAGAAGATGAAGAACAATTTGGTCCTCACATTCTTGAGTGGTTTAATTAATCATGTGGTACCCTCTGGAAACACAGCTGTAGGCAAGGTAACATCTCAAGCCTGGATGTAAGTCACCATTTCCATAAAGTTTATGATAATTGACCTACTTCTCCACATAGCATCATCTTTTAAAATCTCTTCCTCTCATCCCCAAAATGATACACATCCCACAATATGGAGCAGGGTCATTATCTAATGAGATGGATGGAGTGAGCCAAAAAAATTAACCCTTGCCACTGATTGAGAGACATTGGTCCTTAAGGGATCTTGAGTAATGATCACAACCTCCTGGGGGTTCTCATGTCACCTACAGAAGTCACCCATCACTTCTAGGAAAACAATCCACTGATGGATTCCTGATGCATCTGAGTATTCTTGCCAAGAATATTGCTTGGATCCAGATAGGTCCTTCATCACATCCAGCAGCCACACATTAGAGATTTAAATGAACAGTAAACTTACATAAACCCCACACATTAAGTAAAGGAATGGGAAAGGAGCCCAGCACTAACTATCTAGCTCTGCTTGTATCACAAGTGGAAACTATAAGTGTGTTCTAAAACAACATAGGCTGTAGATTATCACTCACTAAGTGTCACAATCCATAGAGAACAGACTGTGGGCTATTCAAGGGCCGTCCACAGAGACAAAGCGGTTGAGTATGAAGGCCAAAGTAGTTTGGAATATCTGCTGACTTCAGACTTGGTCCTATTAACCCATTCTCATAACGCTACTACTGGTCCCTATTCTAATTTCTATCCACTCTTTAAGCCTTTCTGACATGGTCATTATGGAATTTAGATTGATTACCTTTTGATCTTGCCTTTGCCTCTAAACTCCATTTTAAGATCATAATCATTACCATTGCCTGGATATTTTTATCAAACATCAAATTTCCACAAGGTTTTCTAGCATACATAGCATAACTTTGACCCCAAACTACCAAAATTTTCAAGAGCATAATCAATAGGGCTTCTCTGAAACCATCATCCCTCACTCTCTCAATTTGTTGCAACAAATGCCCTCAATGGCGATCTTTTCTTCCCACCTCTCCTTCCTCTCTCCTCTTAGACACCCTCTGGACTATATCTGGAGGAGGCGAGATAGCACCAGCGTTGGGTGGGGAAAAACTGGAGTAGAACACATCTCACTTGGAGATGCTCAGAAAGTACTCATAGGTGGATTTGCAGAGCCAGACACAGTGGGAAAGGAAAAAACAGAAAAATAAAACATAACATCTCTGCTCTCGGATAACGTGCTGTTTATTTTGTTTCTCCTCCAAGGAGTGCAAGTACCTTGCCCAAAGAACACTCTGCCATTTCTTACAAATTGCCAGAAATACTCCCTGCAAGACTCAGAAAGCAAAATCTCTATCTGTTTCTACGGAAACCTCAGCTTGACACGAGGCACCTTAGACTACACCAATCTACAGACACTAACAAGACATGACCCACAGAACAGAAGAGAGTGGGAAAAAAGAGAATGGCAAGTTAGAACTACAAAGAAAAATTAGAAATATAACTCTTGGTCCCTAGGCCCTGGAAAGGCATAGTGCCTGGAAAATGGTGAGGATGGAATTCCTGTTTATGGAATGAACAATTTATTTTCCCTGCTGCAGTACTTACATATCCATTGTGTCTCTCCAAGCACTGGCCTTCCCCTGCTAGGATCCTGGCACCTCCCCTTTTTCCTCCACAGAGACCCCTCCTGCCCACTTATGTTACACCAGACCCCAACAGAACACTTAACACAAAGCTGCAGGCTTGGTGATTGCTCTTTGATATAACCTTCAGCAGAAGCAGTAGAGCAAGCCTTGCCCTCTCTTCTCATAGGTGCTGCTGTTCTCTTTGCAAATGCCCTCTCTATTCCTTTCACCCCTGCAGCTGCTGCCTTCATCTTCCTAGGGCAGCCACCTCTGTCCAGACTCCTTGCTGTCCTTCCTGAGGTACCTTGTCAGTAATGGTCTTCATCATGATCCTCCACCCACGGTCACTCTACTCCAGTAGCCTAGACGCCCCCAGAAATGACAGCATTACTTCTCTCCATCCTAGGGAGGTGCAGCCACCCACCTCAAAACCAGCCTTGCACTGACCTTGAAAGTACATTCACTTCACCATCCCTAAGCAAGGGAACTAATTCCATCCCAATCTGGGCCATTTTTCCTCCTCACTTCTCTGCATCTACTTTTACTCTTGCCACCACCTAAACTAATTCTGCACATCCTGCATCAAAATCTAGTTTCTTATCTTTATACTCTATCAAGGACCTGTCAATACAATAAAGAGGCATCAGAGTTCACCTACAATGATAAGAATACATTTCTCTAAGAAACACAAAGCTGACAGAGCATCAAGGGCAGAGGCTCAGCTTGAAAATTCTTGAGATCTGCAGGAAGTTTGAACGATTTGACTCTGCTGGGTGGTGATGACTGGTGAGAAGAGATTTTGATGCAAAAATTGAATCTCAGCCTCCCTTTTCTTATTGTGAAGTTCTCAAGATAGCAAAATGAGCTCTCTGAGGGCTGAAAATAGTGGATCTCTAACCTTAATGTGCATCAGAGTTACCTGGAGGGCTTGTGAAAACAGACTATTTGGCTCCACCCCCAAGCTTCTGATTCAATAGGTCTTGGGTGGGGGCTGATAATTTGCATGTCTAACATATTCCCTTGTGGTGCTGGTGCTGTTCAGTCAGGAACCAGTTTGAGAATAACCATACAGAGGCTTGGCAAGTTAGGAAGAGGAAGTGGTGTAAAGTCCTCCAGGAAAGAGAACAAGGAACCCTCAAATCCCTCTGGGTGAGAAAGAAATAAATCCCTTTAGAAGAGGGATGTGCACCACAACAGTGGAATTTGATACTCAGGGAAATATCAGTTATAGTAAAAAACAAGCCTGGCAGTTTCTCAAGAAGAGAAAGTGAGCCTGTCCCTCTGAGTTGTAGGGCTAAGGGGTTCATGGTTTTAGGTCTATAAAGCATAAGATACAGGATAATAGTGGAAGCTGAGGTTCAATCAAGTAAAAGTTAACTGATAAAACTGGAGGGACCCACTTCTAGTGCCCATTCTTAAAGTAGTGGAAGCTGAAATTACACTCATGTGTGTTTGATTATTTGAAAGATAAAATGAGATTAGTGCATTTTAGGTGCATTTTCACCAAGCACCTGCAAGGTTCTGTGTCAGATGCTAATAACACACAGAAGAAAGCAATTGGTACCTGCCCTCAAGCCACACACTGTTTAGTTACTTAGGTGCGGATAGTCCTCTACCCCCAGGACTCATAATTGAGAGGATAGTGCCATGGTTAAGGGCATGGACTGTGGCGTCAGAAACACCAGATGTAAACCCTTACTCTACAGTTCTCTAGCTGTATGGTTCTGAATCATTTGATTGATGTCACCAAATCACAATTTCCTCACCTTTAAAATAGGGATAATAATTTCTTTCTAACAGGCTGTTAAAGGATCGATGAGAAAATGCTTGTGCAGCACTGCACACCAGGACCGGCACAAAGCAAGATAATGAGCGAGGCATTTTTTTTTCTTGGCTCCTGTCCTTTAGTCTGCCTGCCCAAAACTGACATCTAAAACAGGCAAGCTGGGAGCCACAGGCCCTATCTCTCATCTAACCACAACCTAAAAACTTCATCAAGTGGAATAGTAACAGGTTGAAGGGTTTCACTATCAAGTCAGCCTGGATGTTGCCTGTATCTGAGTCTGTGCCTAAACCACTGTTTTCAGACATGTACCCCATTTTTTCCTGTTCACCTGGGTCCTTGTCTTACACCTCTCTCCTCCCTGTCTGAGATCTTATCTCAGTTTTCTACTTGGTCACTCACGCCATATGGAGTCATTGACATGCCTTGATCTTTTTCTTTTTCTTTCTTCTTAGATGAATCCTGTTTCTGTGTCCCTAGTAATAAGTTCTGACTCACTCATTAACATGTGACTTCCTGCCTACCTCTTAATTTAATTGGGCATGTCCCCAGATACTGGGAACCACTTGTTCTATCTCAGCCTCAGAAAAAAACAAGACTAGAGAGTGCTCTTGGCTCTGTGTCAGGTGAGGGAGGGAACTTTGGGTGACAGAGCATATGGATGAGCTCAAGGTGGACCAGAGACCTCTATTCTAGAATTCTGTGCCTTGCTTTGAGTCTTGACCCCAATCCTCAGTCCAGAGAGCCTAACACCTTTACCATGAAACTGCCTACCAGGCATGATTGGTCTAACTTTCCAAGGTTATTCTGAAGTCTAAAATAGGTAGTATTGTGTATTGTGTGTAGTTAAGTTTTGTTGGTAGACTTTGACAGCTTTGGTGTCTGGATCCCTCTAATATGTGTATCATCCCTAGAGTGTGGTCTTAATAAGAAAGTTTTGGTCTGGTTGAGATTAGTTTCCTAGAGAAGTAACAGGGACTAACCTTATCTGGACATGAGGGTAAATCTCTCCCACACAGAGCCTCGAAGTCTGGGCCCCTCAAAGGAAAGTGGAAGTGGCTCTGGAAACATAGACCACTGAAAATGGGTTTCTTTTTTTAGAGGATTCTATAAAGAGGCCTCTCAGCTGCATGGAGATTTGAATATCAAGGAGCAAGGATAGAAGCTAGAAAATCCATCAGCAGGCCATAGTAAAAGTTCAGACAAAAGATGATGGTGGTTACATCTAAGGTAGGAGTAGCAAAGTTAAGGAAAATCTATGGGAAATGCTGTCCCATGGATAATACAGTCAACATAATTTATTAGTGAACTGGATATATTAGCAAAGAGATGAGCTGATGAGGAAGCCAAGGAGTTTGGCCTGAGTATCTTAAATAATGTAATTGCTTTTTGTTGATGTGAGGAAGTTGGGAGAGAAGGAGCTATAGAAGAAATTAGGAATTCAGTTATGGGAAAAATAATTTTGAGTTGTATTTTAAGTATCTATATAGAGGTGAGCAGCAGGCATATGTGTACAACAACATTCAAGTCTGGAGTTCATAAGCAGGGTCGGAATTAGAGAAAAAAAATGTCTGGGTGGTCAGACTGTAGATAGTGTTCACAGCCTTGGAATTAGATGAGATAACAAATGCATGAGTTCTGACAGAGTAACTTAGGGGTCTCAGCATAGGACCCTCCAACCTTTAGAGTATAAAAGCAGAATCCTAATGTTCTAAAGTCAATGAAGAGGCCGAGGATCAAGGACAGAGTTGGCAATAGCGCTCAAGAAATCACAAGGCAGACATTCTTCTGAGTAATCAGAAAAGGAAATCCTACTGCTGAGGTGGAGGGCCAGATAATCGACTATGAGTGTTTGTTCAGAGGCACCGCAGGCCACAAAATCACATCCAGGCATTCATGGTGATAATGAGAATTCACAATCATGAAAGTGCAAAACAGGGGCTCTTGAGCTCCTTGGTCTCAGGACCCCACTGCACTCTTAAAAATATCAAGGTTTTAATTACATCTATCAATATTTAACATATTGAGCATTAAAACTAAAAGAAAATGAAAACACACAACTACACAAGCATCCATTTCATTTGCCATCAGAGCAATTGATGCCATCACTCATCATTCTAGAAAACCCCACTGTACAGCTGTGAAAGAATAAGAGTGAAAACGAAAATGGCAGTGTGACTATAAAAATGTGAACATATTCTTGACCCTTTGTACCTCATAAGATGGTCTTGCAGAGCCTGAGGAATCCCTAGACCACGCGTTGCAAGCCACCCATCTAAACAGTGATGACAGCAAAAATTAGGTGAGGGAAACTTGAGAAATAGACCAGAAGTAATGTGACCAATGGGCTGTGGGGGGTACCTTCTGGGTACTATGTCTCTCATGGAGGAGAGACATGTAAGGATGACTGGGGTGCCTCACATGATGCCCAGATTTGGGCCTGGAGACTGTCTGCAGGGTGCTGTCTTTTAATAAAATAGGGCAGTAGTTTTCACAGTGCAGTTTACAATCCATTAGAGGGTAGAGAATTCAATTTAATGTGTGGCAGCCATCATTTAAAAAAATAAAATATATTATAATACAAACTATCATGAACTGTTTTATATATGTGCATATGCGATATGTATATATCTATACATAAATATATCAGTGCTGTGTAAAGTTGGAAAACATAGCTTATGTGTGAGTCAAGTTTGAGAATCTCTGAGATAGGGAATACTAGAAGTAGCAGCCTCCTGATGATGTCCTTGCTTCTAGTCTTTTCCTCCATTTTAGAATGACTTTCCAAAATATCACTCTAAACATGAAAATCCTTTATTTAAAGTCTTTTGATGGCCTCTTCCTCTTTACTACAGAGCAAAGCCCAAACACTTTCGCATGGCACAGAGGGCACCACAGAGTCTGACCGCAGCCTTTCTCTCAGGTGTTAACTCATAACATTCTCCCCACTAATACCCTTCTCTCAAGTCAAAAAAGACATGTAAAGTCCCGAAATATGCCTTGACTTCTCTGGTGTCTGTACTGGACTGTGCCCTGTATGTCATTTCCTTTGCCTGAAATTTTCAACATTTAGACCAACTCACATTCCATGATCCAGCTCTTCCAGGGGTAGCAGAACATGACCAGATCTTCACCAAAATTTCCCCTTCCTAGGCACATAAGAAACAACACTTTCCTGCCTTTTTGTAAGGAGGTGGGCATATGATCTGCTCTGGCCAGTGGAATGTAGGTAGAAAGTGATCTATACCACTTCCAGACCAAGCTCCAAAATATTTTGTGCCATCCTCCATGTTTTCTCTCTTTCTTCTTTAAACCACCAGATAGAGAAAATCTCTGGGTCCTAGTGGATCTCAGTTCTAGTAGAATGAACACCCTCAACCCCCAAACTTTGCATGGACCCCAGATAAACTTTTATTGTTTTAAAATATTAAAATTGGAGGCTGTGCATTTTACCCACCCTAACCAATATACCAAGTTTGATGCCTTGCCATTTACCAAATCCTCTCATTGTTTTCCAGGAATGAGACGGGGAGATAGGAAGCTCTCTTATTCCTAAACTCTTATTACAGTCTCCACTGTTTCCAGCCTCCTCATGTATGTCCAGAGTCAACAACAGGCCTAGAAAGCTGGAAATGGAAGCAGCAGAAACCTTTGTTCCTCCAGGGTTTAGGATGGCAATGGGGAACAAGTGTTCATCCCTATATTGCACACAGCACTCATCCTGTTCACAGATCCACAGGAAATAACTAGAGCTCATCAGTCCTCCTAGGCCATGGTAAGAACTTGAAATTTGATGCTGAACAAAATAGGGAGCCATTCAGGATTTTTAGCACCAAAATGGCATTAAATGACAGAATTTTAAAGATGTGTTCTGGACATTGTGTTAAGAATAGACTGTGTGTGATGGGAGGGAAGAGAGAGTAAAGCAAGGATATTGGTCTGGAGGCCATTGGGTGACCCACAATAAGGAATTAATGCTAATGGGGTCAGAGATTTGGCCATGAAGGTTGGGAGAAGTGTGTATATTCTGTATATAATTGGGAGGTAGAGCCAACAGCATTTCTTGTTGCAATTCCCCCAGGTCTTGTATTTTACTTCTTCACTTCATTTAGCCCTTTGCCCAAGTATAATCCCCTTAGAGAGTTCCCCAAATGCTTCTTCTGAAATAGCTCTTTCACTCCCTGTCACCTTCCATTTAGTCTTGCTTTATTTTTCCTTGTAGTCTTATGCACCTGAAATTACATTGCATATGTACCTATCAACCTATTAATTGTCCATTTCTTCCAACATGATGCTCTCTTCCTGAGCACACGGACTGGTCCTTGTCATCACTGATTTCCCAGAGCCTAGAATAGTGCCTGACTCATACTTGGCGCTCAAATATTTGTGAAATGAGTAAATGAACCAATTAAATTAGTCTTGCCGGAGACACAAATCTTGCTGTTAACACAGCAAGCAATAAACACAGGCCCCCCACTGCATCATGTTTGCAGTGATGCAGGTCATCTTGGTGATAAAAGAAGTGGCCTGACCTGCAGACTAGCCCTAATTTGATATTTATGCACACAGTCTGGTCTCACCAAAAGGTTCTGGTTCTGCATACTTTTCAAATATTTTCTTTTCCTTATCCATCTTGTTCAACAGCATTCAACTGATTACCAGTTTTAGCCTATGACCTAGGAACTCCAAGATTGGAAACCACATTGTAATGCTTTTAGGTTGATCTTTTAATCGTCAGCCAAGCATTTTAGCAAACATCAATGCTATGGAAGATTAATAAGCTACCCAAGTCTGGCCAAAGGTGACCCCAGCCTTCTGGGTACTATGTCTCTCATGGAGGAGACTTCCCGATTTGTGAAGGATACATTCTGATACTCAATAGGACCAAGGCCTCTGGCCTCACTGGCAGTAGCTTCATCTGGAATTGCAAGAGACACATGGAGCTGCTTACCAACAGCTGAGTCTCCTTTACACATCAGCCTTGTTCATTGGGTGTCACCTCATTAGCCTCAATGGAAATCATCCTTTTCTGAGAATTGGTGACACTGCATAAATTAATGAGTTAACAGCCACGAATGTCATCAAAAGGGAGGAGCTGGGGAAGAAATAACTGCTTTTGTCAAGATGCTTAACTGCAGAAGATAATAAGACAGTTTGATCCATGAAGACTATTGAAATTAACAATCTAGCTCATGTGCACCTTGTCCTGAACAGTTGCCTGCCCTCCTCCACTTCCTCCTTTCTACCCTGCTCCTGCCTGCCTAACCTCACTGAAGACTGCTTACATCAGAAGCAGGAAACAGGCTGGGCGCGGTGGTTCATGCCTGTAATCCCAGCACTGTGGGAGTCCGAGACGGGCGGATCACCTGAGGTCAGTGAGACCAGCCTGGCCCACATGGGGAAACTTCATCTCTACTGAAAATAAATAAATAAATAAATAAAAATTAGCCGGATGTGGTCGCAAAAGCCTGTAATCCCAGCGACTTGGGAGGCTGAGGCATGAGAATCACTTGAACCCAGGAGGCAGAGATTACAGTAAGCCGAGATCACGCCACTGCACTCCAGCTTGGGCGACAGGGAGACTCCATCTCAAAAAAAAAATAAAAAGTAGGAAATATATCGAATACTTACTATATGTATGCCAGGTACTGACAATATTTTTATTATTTCTTTTAGTTTTACAAAATCCATACAGTAAGGCACATTTATTACCTCAATTCTTACATGAGGAAAGTAACTTGCCCAGGCACACAGCTAAGTAACGGAGCAGCACTTGATCATTACTGATCTAAGACCAGCATGTTGATACCAATTACAGAGAATCTTTAATTATTCTTATAAACTAGTCCCCCAGTCTCAGACTTCAATATGGTGTCAGCTCACCTCTCCAAAGACAAGGCCAGGCCAAATTTGCAGCAACCCAATCATCATTCCCCACCTCTTCCTCAGGAAGGGACTTTCAGATATTTGACTCTAAACTTCCAAGGTTTCCCAAGGCCCTTAAAACCTTTTTAATAAAAATCAAATAATTTCTCTTTTAACAAGTATTTGAGTGTGCAATACAGTATTATTAACTCAGCATTATGTTGTACAGCAGATCTCTAGACTTATTTATCTTGCATAACTGAATTTGTATATTTATTGAACAAGTCCCCATTTCTCCCTCTCATTTTTACCACAACAAAACAAACAGAAACAAAACAAAGGGGCAAGAGGAAAGTTTTGAAATTGATGGATATGTTTATTACCTTGATTTTGGTTATGGCTTTATGGATGGATCTATGCACATGGCTAAACTCATCAAATTGCCTACATTAAATATGGGCAGCTTTTGTATGTCAATCATATCTCAATAAAACTATTTTTAGGAAAAAATACATCACAGACATTAATAAAAAGGAAAAAAGAAAGAAAAAAAGCAACATAAAGAATCTCATTTTGAGTGACAGGCAGCAGAAGGTGATCTGGTCAGAGGGGATCTCCACTTGTCTCCCCATAGCAGAGTATAGGGTCAGGAAAGCTGAGCAAGAGCTACTGAAAGGGCTCAAGCTTCCAGTGCAGCTAAGTGTGCAGCTCCCACTGCTGCTGCTTGCTGCAGCTGTCAACACCTTGCGTGTCTTCTGTACCCCACTGAGGCTTCCCAAACAGCCTCATTCCAGCTGTGCATGATTTTGTGCTCTAGAGCAGTCAAAGCAAAAGGTGGTGTTTAAAAGAAATTATATGCATACCTTGTTTTATTGTGCTTTGCATTATTGCTCTTCACATATATTGTATATGTTACAAGTTGAAGGTTTGTGGCAACCCTGCGTTGAGCAGGCCTGTAAGTACCAGTTTTCCAACAGCAAGTGCTCACCACATGTCTGTTGCATTTTGGTAATTCTTACAATATTTCAAACTTTATTATTATCATTATTATTATATCTGTTAGGTGATCTATGATCAGCAATCTTGATATTATAATTTTGTTTGGGGGCACCACAAAACACACCCATATAAGACAGCAAACTTAAATGATAAGTGTTTGTGTTCTGACTGTTCCACCTACTGGCTATTCCCCTCTCACTCTCTCCTCTCAAGCCTCCCTATTCCGAGACACAGCAATGTTGAAATTACACCAATTAATAATCCCACAATCGCCTCTAAGTGTTCAAATGAAAGGAAGAGTCGCAAGTCACTCACTGTCAATCAAAAGCTAGAAATAATTAAGCTTGGTGAGGAAGTCGTGTCAAAATCCAAGATAAGCCATTCATGATTCTTCTGATAGATCTGTACAAAGTAAACTGAAAACTTTCTGGAAAGGAGTCACCATTCTAGATGTCCTTCAAAACATTTGTGATTCATGGGAAGAGGTCAAAATATCAACATTAACAAGAGTTATGAAGAAGTTGATTCCAGCCCTTCTACATGACTTTGAGGGCTTCAAGACTTCAGTGGAGTAAGTAACTGCAGATGTGATGGAAATAGCAAGAGAACTAGAATTAGAAGTGACTGAATTGCTGCAATCTCATGATCAAATTTGAACAGATGAGGAGTTGCTTATTAGGGATGAGCAAAGAAAGTGGTTTCTTGAGATGGCATCTAATCCCAATAAGATGCTGTGAATATTATTGAAATCACAACAAAAGATTTAGAATATTCTGTAACCTTAGTTGTTACATCAGTGGCAGAGTTTGAGAAGATTGACTCAAATTTTGAAAGTTTTGGCTGGGCGCAGTGGCTCACACCTGTAATCCCAGCACTTTGGGAGGCCGAGGGGGGCGGATCACGAGGTTAGGAGATCGAGACCATCCTGGCTAACACGGTGAAACACCGTCTCTACTAAAAATACAAAAAAAAATTAGCCAGGCATGGTGGAGGGCACCTGTAGTCCCAGCTACTTGGGAGGCTGAGGCAGGAGAATGGTGTGAACCTGGGAGACGGAGCTTGCAGTGAGCAGAGATCGTGCCACTGCACTCCAACCTGGGAGACAGCGAGACTCCGTCTCAAAAAAGAAAAGAAAGAAGTTTTACTGTGAGTAAAATATTATTGAACATAATTGCATGTTACAGATAAATTCTTCATGAAAGGGTCAATGAATGCAGTAAACCTCATTGTTTTAAGAAATTTTCCCAGCCATTCCAACCTTTAGCAATCATCACACTGATCAGTCAGCAGCCACCAACCTAGAGGCAAGACTCTCCACCAGCAAAAAGATTACAACTCACTGAAGGTTCAGATAATCATTAGCAATTTTTCACACAAAAAAAGTATTTTAAAATTAATCTATATTCATTTTTTAGACACAATCCTATTGCACACTTAAACTACAGTACAGTGTAAACATAACCTACACATGCACTGTGAAACCAAAAATTTATGTGCCTAACTTTATTGCGATATTTGCTTTATTGCTGTGGTTTGGAACTGAACCCGCAATATCTCTGTGGTGTGCTTGTAGTTTAGGAATGGTATTGGGTTTTTTTATTTTTAATTAAAAACAGCAAAATAAGATGGAAGAAAAATGCTCCACAAACCCTCAATCCAACAAATTACTCCTACAGAACAATTTTCGTCTTTCCTCCTTTATACATATTTTGCATGGTTGTGATCATAGTAACTTCAGCATTTTTAGTCCTTTATTTTACTGAATATTCTATTATAAATTCGTTTTCCCATTGTAAAGTCCTCAAAATACCTTCTTAGTGGTTTTATAAATAGCATCATGTCAGGGCAATATAAATGTTAAACAATCCTCTTAGTGTGAGGTAATTGATTCCTTTTTTAAAATGTTTCCCATGATCATAGTTTATATTAACTAATAGAACGGTTACAATACACCAGACATTTTCTAGATACTCTATATTTGTGAATTCATTTAATCATCACAACAACCCACTATTTAGGCTTCATCATTCTTATTGCCATGAAGAAGCTGAGATACAGAGAAGTCACATTACTTCTGGAAGTCACCAAGTAGTTGAGTGAGAGACTTATGAGTCCAAGAGCATGGACTCCTCAGTGTAGGCACTAAACCACCACACCCCTCTCTCTGCTGCAGCAAACCTATCATCTGTGCAAAAATGGAGTTTTTTTCCTGGAAAATATTTCCTTAGGATAAATTCATAGGGTCTGAAATGGTTGGGTCAAGAAATATAATTACCTTTATGGCTCATTCTAAATATTCCTACAACACTGTTCAAAAGAATTCTTTCCACCTCAAACACCACCATCAGTGAATAATCTTGCAAGCAGGACCATAAACTGGCCAACTTCAAGTTCTGTTATCATAAGTTTTCATTGTGCTTCTTTAATAGCTGCAAAATGATTTCCACAGGTCTTTTACATTAGCCATTTTTTGAACACTAAAAATAATGGGCACTTTCCAATCATTTATTTGCTAATTATAGATGCACTTTTGTTTGTTCACATTCTTTACACAGTAAACGATTGTGTTTTTGTGAGTGCTTGTGCATTTGCATAAGCTCTTTAAGCACTTTATCTTTTTTTTGTAACTGTCTTATTTGATATAAACATTTTCTAGTAAGTAGTCCTTTTTCTCTCAATTTTATTATGTTTCATTATACAGAGGTTTTTTTTAGAATCTATGTATTTATTATATTCTGTTGCTCTATTGATTCTAAGATGAAGTAGTATGGCAACTTAGCAGCAAAGTCTCTTTTGGTACTCAAGATTCTTTTTAGAAAAATAGGAATAATGTTGTGTGTGTCATATGGTAGATGACAGGAAAAAATGAAGTGCCTAAAACCACTGGGTATATTCATCTTGTTTTCTATTACTTTGAATAGCTTTTTTTTTTTGTATTTCACATCTTATCGATGGTGATTAAAGCGAAACAAATCTGTTTAGTTTTGTCTACCTTTTATTATGCCACTCTTCTACATTTTGAAGTATAATGGTAATAGTCCTTAAATTGATTGCTTTAAATTTTTGAGGTAATCATGTCACCTGCAAATCATCAATTAATTTTACTTAAATATTTATGTCTCTTATTTGTTTTTCATGTCTTATTACAAGAATTTTCAAAACAATCCTAGCACCTATGGGGCATCGTGGTCATCCAAGCCCTAAGAAGGCTGCTGTCCATCCAGTCAAGGCTATCGGAGGGTGTCTGAGGTGTCCTCTCCCTCCTTATCTGCACCCCTTCCCCTTCCTGCCTTCTCAGCCAGCAGCAGCATTGCTTCATTGAGGAAACCTGCACAACACACAAGCAACTAAGAGGCTTCTGGATTTCAAAAGCCTGAGTTTTGAAGATCTCAGCCTCCAGCATTTATGTCATAAACAAAATATTTGGACCATTGATGGAGAGACTTTTACCCTCAGGCTAGATTAAGATTCACTAATCAAGAGAAAGAAAAGAAGCAAATCGGACCTGAAGAAGGTAGCTGAACCTTGAAGAGGGGAATAACAGAAACTCAAGGTCAGGTGGAAAAATCCAAGAGTACTTTACTGAGTTGTGATGAGGAGACTCATAGAAGCTTCACATTTCTCTGACTGGGGCCAACAGGTCCTCCTCCCACACTCTGGACAGCCAGATTCCTATTTGGCATTAATCTGTGTGTTCCACAGTCCGCTTCTACAGCCTCAGGAAACCTCCCGTCAACACTGGGACCTCGGTATGGGGCAAATTTCAGGAGGAAAAGAATAAAAGGAATAAAAGTTAAGTCCTCCAGTATTTTTTGGCAGAAAGGTGAGGAGCAAAGTTCCAATGACTCAGGATCAGTGATAGAAGTTGTTGGTCCATGGGGAAAAGAATTGGGCATCTCCAGCTCTGTGATCTTTCTTCCAGGCCCTTGACCTGCCACCAGCATTTTACATACCCACGCATACACACACAATTATATTCCCCAAAAATACTCCCCAAAGAGGATTTCCAGAGTGCTTTTAGATCCTTTGACATTTCCAACCTCTCCTCCAGTGATTTAAAAAAAAAATCTTCACTAGAATCATAATGTCTCTGGTATTTCTTTTCAAGAAATTCCAATCACATAATTGAACAGGGTTGAGTTGTAGGAGAGGGTTAAGAAGAACAGGCTCTCTGAGTGACAGTCACACTCAGGCGCCATCTGGCTGCAACCCACTGTATCAACAGCCAAACCATGAGGTCCACACAGGTTACACTGGCGGGTACGCAGAGGCAGGGACATCTATCTAGTAGCAAGGCGCCTCACTGTGCAGATCTGGGCACATAGCTTCATCGGAATTCCTCCCACACCAGCCTCAAACAAGCTGCCCTTTACTGAGTGAGGTTTTCAGGGGATGCAGGTAGGAAAAGATTAAACAGTGAATAACTTTATTTATTATTCCTAACCCATAGCCATCTCGGAGGGCTGGAATAGCTCCCTGGCTCCCTGGGTCTCAGAGATGCCTATAGGTCTAGGCTGTGGGTACGCCTGTGGTTTGGGGTTTGTTCTGCTTTCATTGTGAGCCAAACCTCCAACAATCCCTACACCCTGGGTGGTTACTATTGATTTTTTTTTTTTTTTTTTTTTTGAGACGGAGTCTCGCTCTGTCGCCCAGGCCGGACTGTGGACTGCAGTGGCGCAATCTCGGCTCGCTGCAAGCTCCACTTCCCGGGTTCACGCCATTCTCCTGCCTGAGCCTCCCGAGTAGCTGGGACTACAGGCTCCCGCCACAGCGCCCGGCTAATTTTTTGTATTTTTAGTAGAGACGGGGTTTCACCTTGTTAGCCAGGATGGTCTCGATCTCCTGACCTCATGATCCACCCGCCTCGGCCTCCCAAAGTGCTGGGATTACAGGCGTGAGCCACCGCGCCCGGCCGGTTACTATTGATTTATGCTGGCTGCAAAACAACAGACTGACGCGACAAAGTGAATGCAAGTGTGGCAGCATACTAATGCCAGGCCTAGGATGTTTCTGTCATAAGGAATATGACATAAGGAATATGGAGTGCAGACTGGGCGGGCTCCCAATTAAGTATTTGATGACGATTAGTTGATTCGCTTGTAAGATTTTGGAGGTTTGTGGGCTCTCTGCATCGCTGGATTTGCCTTTGTCCTTGTCAAGTGGTAATTATGGAGCACTGTTAACATGCCTCAGAGGGCAGCCCTCCCACAACACACCCGCTCTTCTGACTTCCAGGGTCCTTCTCACATTTGCCACTGTAAGAATTGGGTATTTTCTTCACTGTCTAATTTTTCCCAAAACACACACCAGTGAAAGAAGAAAAATCTCGGTACCCTCTTACCTCCCCAATGCTACAGTCTCTCACCTCTGCGTATTTCACGTGCTCTTTCCTCAGTTCTTATGACTTCCCTATCTCATCCATCTGAGCCTTCAAGACTCAGGACAGGGGTCCCTCAACTGCTCATGAGGCCAACACTTCTCCTGTTGGATGCCCTTCACTGTGCTTTGCCTGCAGCACCTGCAAACGCCTCCATCATAACTATTGTAGCACAAGTGCCATTATTCTAGATTTACAAATACCTTCCCGCTGGGAGCCACCAAAAGGACAAATTAAAAACTATTTATCCTTGAGTCTTCACATGCAGTAATCAGAAGAGATATTTGTTCAATCAAAACATTGTTAAATGCCAAAATGTGAATTTCAGAGACAGACTGACCTGACATTGGCAAGTTACCTAACTCTTTCCATCCAAATTGTCTCATAGATCCTTCAACTCTGAAATTAATCTATTCTGAGATAAATATCCTAATTGCCCAGAGTGTAAAACACTTGGAGCTTAAAATAGTCAGATTGAAACCTGACATCTAAATAACTAACTTGATGGGTCATGTGACATGATGCAGAAGTGTGTGGCCAGGAGATGACCTTACCTTCTTCCTCAGGGTTGGTGCCTTTTAAACAATGAGGATGCCTATTTTTTAATCTTTTCAAAGATACAACTACCACATTCTAAATCTACTCAGGTACTAAGAAAGATTATTGTAATTAAAAAGAGAATCTAGCACAATATTTTTTGAACTTTTTGATCACAGCCCTGACATTTTACATCTCAAACCAATAAAAGTAAAATAAAACTTTTATAACACATACATACATACTTATATTTCTTATGATGCCCTCTGGTATGTTTGTTCTAGAAGATAATCCTATTCTCTTCTATTTCATTTTTAAAGAAATACTGATTGTAAATCTGCAAAGGGTCTATACTTTAGTTGTGGCAATATCAATTGCCTGGTTTTGATGATGCACTGTGGCTATATAAGACATTATCTTTGGGGGAAGCTGGGTGAAGGGCACACAAGAATGCTCAGTAGTAGTTTTACAATACTTTAATAGTCTTAAACTAACCTTTAAAAATGAACTTAAAAAATGAATATGGGTTGTGAAGGTGGAACACATGGCTTTATGATCCACTGAGTTCCATAATGAGGTTAAAAAGCATTGATCCTTCAAAGTGACTTTATATAAGATAAATGTACTTATTCCTTATATCCAGGAATAACCAGCTTCCAAAAATTGCATAAACAATATAAATAAAAGAGATGACATTATAGATACCATAGAAAGAGTAATGTGGCAAATTCCATATTAAAAAGCAATAAAACATTATGCAAATTTAAAAAAACTGCAATAAAGTTTACTCTATAACATAATTTTTAATTATTTGATTAGTACATGGATTTAATTTTATTCTTATCATAAAACTGGACAGTTTTGAGGAGAACTTGACGAAATGATTCCAAAGTTCATCGGGGTAATAAAGCAAAGATGATGCCTAATGAAGTTCTCTAAGCAGAAAGTAATGAAGCAGAAGCAACAGTGATGTGCAGAGCCACATGTACCAGCTTGTGAGAGCATATTGTTAAATTTTCAGGAATTTTGTGATCTGGTTGAGGTCACATTGGTAGCTTGAAATCAGTGGGAAAGTTAATTTCTCATGGTTGGTTATATAGAAAGAAAATTATAGAAAACTACCTAAAACTAAATACAGAGAAAATTCAGAGGAATAAATAAGTTAAATACTAAACTTCACAACTGCTTTAAAATGTACAATAAAATTTAATGCAATTTTAATCAAATATTTAACTTTGGAATAACATTTTAAATTTCAAATTAAAAGAAATAATAAACATAGATATGTTGCTTAAAAATGTACAAGTTCTGTATTTGGCTCTAATTTTTGTGTTAATGATTAACACAAATCCACGATTAATAGTTTCCAAATCAACAATCAAAAAGTATATTTAGAAAAATATTTGCAACAGATAGCAGACAAAAAAGTTGTCTAATCCTAACATATAAATGACTTGTACAATAAATGAGTAAAAACACTAAAACTCCAACAGAGAAATGGAAAAAAGTCATGAACAGGAAAGTCATAAGAGTCCAGTGCAATGTAGGTAACAAGTGTGAACCCATGGACTCAGGTCAACCTTTACAATGTACAAATGTTAAACATTTAAAATGCTCCATTTACAAATATACAAATTGAAATAATGAAGCTCAGCTCTCCTGGCTGCACCAACCTCTCCTCTTTATTCTCATCCTCTATAGACATTTGGTCACTCTCCATTGTTTTCCAAAGTTGTTGGCTCACCTGCTTCTTCTTGGCTCAACTCCAAAAAGCCATCATTCTTATGATTCCACAAGGATGACCTGCTTACTGAATAGTCAGGTTTTTCACTTCCTTAAGCTCCTTACTTCTACAGAACACTGTCGGCCCATTCATTTCAGTACACAAAATCCCCAAATATACCCTCGTTTTCCTATAATAACACCTTGTACAAGGTCTCTAATGAAAAGCTGACCACCTCCTTCCACTTGTTATTCAACACCTTTTACAGCGCCTCTACTTTGCCTGCTTCAATCACATTCAATTGACACACCCAAACTTCTTCCAATACTTTCTCCATCTTCCTCCTCACCCAGCTTAGATCTCACAGTCCACCATTATCTTTCCAAACCTCTAAACTTCCACACTCCTTCTTCCTCCCATGAGGCCACCTAGCAAAACTGCAGCCATCGATGACCTATTGCTTTCTCCAGGCCTGTACATAGCCAAGCACAATTCATGAAAATCACACACAGTAGGCAAGTTAATGTCACTGTAAACACATAATCACCAAGACAACCAGCTGGTAACTCAATTATCTTTTCTTAACCAACTTTTTCAATATCTTCTCGGTATTTCTCAAATATCCAAGTTGTCTCTCAGCCCCACTCTGTCAATCACCTTGCTTCAATCTTTAATAAGGTTATTTAAACCAGCATAGGATAACCTCCTGAAGTTCCTACCACCAATTATAGAAACCTATCTACAAATGCACCTGTCCTCTCCTTGTGGCCATCTATCAAAATGAGAAACTGCCTCTCCTCTTGTTCTGGCCAATTTCTCTGCCAGTAGCTGGCCTGCACCTCCTCCTGCCTTCCCTGGACCTGGCTTTAGCAGTATCTCCTCCACATCCAGTATCTCCATCCTCTCCTTTTTTCTGGATCCTTCCCATTATTATTGAAACTTTTTCTAGCCTCTCCCACCTTTAAAACTATATCTACTGGTTTCCACAATTCCAATGTTCTTTTCTATCTTTGCAGAAAGCATTCCTTCAGATTTATCTACACATTTTGCCTCCACTTACTTACCTCCTCTCCATACTTCAACTCATTCCTATCTGCCTTCCACCCCTACTACTCCTTGAAAAATGCATTTGTAAAGTCAGCCATCACCTGGTTATTGTTTAATCCTATAGATACCTTTCAATCCTCTTCTTTCTTGACTGCTTCTATTCAGCAATTCACACTATGACTCCTTCCTGAGAGCACATTTTTCCCTGGGCTTCCCTGACACCGCACACCTCAGCTTCCATCCATACCTCTGAGAATTTCTCCATCCTTTTCTAGCTTCTCCTTCTCTAGGTGATTATTAAACTTTGGAATCATTCAGGGCTTTTTCCAGGCTCTTTTTCCTTCTCACTCTACACTTGTCCCTAAGTCATCTCACCAACTTCTGCAATTCAAAATATCATCAATATACTAATATATATACCATCAATATACTAATATATATACATCGTAATGGCCACTTATTCCATCCCCGACCCCTTATCTGGGTTTTAGACACATTTTCTCAACTCACTGCTTAACTTTCCCCCTTGTTTTTCTCAGATCAATTTCAGCACCTTCAAATCTGAAGTCCATTCTCTTTCAACTATGCTTCTCCCCCCATTTCCATTCATAATAATCTACTCCATTGCTGATACCAGAAATTTGAAAACTGTATTTAACATATGCTTTTCTTTTCTTTCACCTTCCAAGGACATTCAACTGCCCTCCCTCTCCTACCTCCTAATCATAACGTCTCTCTCTCTCTCTCTCTCTCTCTCTCTCTCTCTCTCTCTCTATATATATATATATATATATATATAAAATGCCCTGTGGGGGGAAAATGGTAGTTTGAGCTACAGTGGTTGCAGATAGAGAAGTTAAATAGATAGATAGATAGATATTAAATGTTAAATATATAGAGAACTTCTTTCTCTATCTGCAACTGTAGCTTAAACTACCATTGTCCCTCCACAGATACAGTTCAGGAGCTTTCTCTCACACCTCCCTACAAACCATTCTCTGCAAATTCTAACCAATTTAGCCTCTTTAAAATGCTAATAATATTACTCTCATACTAAAATCCTTTCAGCTTCGCTAGCTAATCTTAGGATTAGTCCCTGTCCTCCTTACCTCTTCAGCCTGTCTTTTCCTTGGCACACTCCCTGCTTCTCAGTGCCCCACCTCTCTGGCTCTTCCTTGGCTCCTCTGGCAAGCCATGGTCCTCTCACCAATATTTGCATGTCTTGTTCCCTCTGCCTGGAATGCCATTCCCTGCACCTGCTCTTTACTAAGATACTCCAACTTACCCCTTTTGCAGCAGATGAAGTGTCTCTGTCTTAAAGAAGCCTTAGTCTTGAGAGGTCAAGACTAAATCAGTATGCCTCCTTAATCGCTCAGAGTAGCACATATTTCTCCATTATAACATGCATCATACTCACAATTAAGTGATTGTTTAAATTGTGCTTATTTCCTGTTTATATCTGCCCCAAGTATAAGTTCCATAAGAACAAAGACTCTCTGTCCTTTCCCCCTCTATCTCAGTGCCCAACAGTTTCTAACATGCAGTAGGCTCAATAATATCTGTGTTGCATGCATTGATGAACCCTTACCTGTAAAAGAACTAATCTCAACAATAATTTCAAATGTTGTCAAGATCCCACTGAAATATGCCCAATTGTACAATGCTCTGGGGAATATGAGTTGTCAAAACTCTTTTAGAAAATAATTTTACATGATGTATCCCAAGTGTTACTTTTGAACTAGTAATTTCACTCTGAAGAAATAAGCTTAAGTACCCGCACGTAAGTTTATGCACAGATGTTTCTTGTCTCATTATTTGTAATACTGAAAAATTATGAACAACATAAATATCTAACAACAGTTAAGTAAATTAAGGTTCCGTGTCTAAGTATAATATTATTTCACTATTTTCAATTATGTGTACAAAGAGGTTGCAATAACTTTCGTTAATGTTTATTTTCTAATGTTTGTGATTAAGCTATATACAAAATTATATAGACAGCCTGAACCCAACTATGTGAAAAAGCATATATAGAAAAAAGGATAAAATTATGTGGAAATAATAAGGATCATTATAATGATAACAATTATGAAAATAATATTAACAACTAGCATGTACTGAGCATTTACTATGTGCTGGTTATTGTTAAGTTTTACATACATTGATGCATTAAGTGCTCACAACAACCCTATTAATTTCAGTTAGGTTGTTATTACCCCCATCTTTAAAATAAGGAGACTAAATCTCAGAGAGGTTAAGTAACTTAGCTAAGACCACCCAAATGTCCAATGACAGAATCTAAACACTTTAAAATAAAAAATATTCACAATAATGATTATACCATTTCTTTATGGTATGATTTAGGTGATTCTGTCTATATTTTCTTAGTTTTTGTGATGAGCACATATAACTTTGATAAACAGAAAAAAGAGTTTCATTTTAAAAAGAAAGC
The DNA here is from genome assembly GCF_000001405.40 of Homo sapiens. Lineage (NCBI taxonomy): Eukaryota > Metazoa > Chordata > Mammalia > Primates > Hominidae > Homo > Homo sapiens. Next base: position 84,920,876 of record NC_000010.11, on the reverse strand, counting down.
CACAAGCTTTCTCTTTTTAAGAGTTTGGCTTTCTTTGCCAAACTCTTATTAACTATAGCACCAAGAAAAGGTTCTTATTTGGGACCATCTTTATGCCAAAACAATCCTGGCAACGGAAATGTGAATTATGAAGGTACAAATATTTCAGAAGCCCATACATCGCTTTCCAGTGATAATTATCAGAAATGTCAAGACTATTTGGTTGCTTTAGAAAGTTAAACTGTGAGCATTATGTTGGAAGTTCTTTCCTAAATGGAACCGCTTATCCTGTTATGCAGCTGTCTTTGCCAATGAAGAGTGACCAGGTAAGGTAGCGATCACATATTTTGGGGTTTTTTTGTTGTTGTTGTTTTAACTTTTATTTTAGGTACGAGAGTACATGTGAAGGTTTGTTACATAGGTAAACGTGTCATGGGGGTTCATCATACAGATTATTTCATCACCCAGGAATTAATCCCAGTTCCCAATAGTTGTCTTTTCTGCTCCTCTCCCTCCTCCCACCCTCTGCCCTCAAGTAGACCACAGTGTCTGTTGTTTCCTTCTTCATGTTCATATGTTCTCATCATTTAGCTCCCACTTACAGGTGAGAACATGCAGTATTTGGTTTTCTGTTCCTGTGTTAGTTTGCTGAGGATAATAGCCTCCAGCTCTATCCACGTTCCCACAGAAGACATAAACTAGTTCATTTTTATGGCTACATAGTATTCCATGGTGTAAATGTACCACATTTTCTTTATTATATCTGTCATTGATGGACATTAGGTTGATTCTATTTCTTTGCTATTATGAATAGTGCTGCCATGAATATTCGTGTGTATGTTTCTTTATGATGAAATGATTTCTATTCTTTGGGGTATATACCAGTAGTGAGATTGCTGGGTCCGATGGTAGTTCTGCTTTTAACTCTTTGAGGAAACTCCATACTGCTTTCCACAATAGTTAAAAGAATTTACACTCCCAACAACAGTGTATAAGTGTTCTCTTTTCTCCACAACCTTGCCAGCATCTGTTATTTTTTGACTTTTTAATCATAGCCATTCTGACCATCTCAGTGGTGTCAGATGGCATCTCATTTCGATTTTAATTTGCATGTCTCTAATGATCAGTGATGAGCTTTTTTTCATGTTTGTTGGCCACATGTATGTCCTCTTTTGAGAAGTGTCTATTAATGTCCTTTGCCCACTTTTTAATGGGGTTGTTTGTTTTACTCTTGTAAAATTGTTTAAGTTTTATTACACCTTTGTCAGATGCATAGTTTGCAAATATTTTCTCCAATTCTGCAGGTTGTCTGTTTACTTTGTTGATAGTTTCTTTTGCTGTGTAGGTGCTCTTTAGTTTAATAAGATTCCACTTGTCAATTTTTCCTCTTGTTGTGCTTGCTTTTGGCATCTTTATTATAAAATCTTAGCCCGTTCCTATGTCTGGGATGACATTACTTAGCTTGTCTTCCAGGGTTTTTATAGTTTGAGGTTTTATATTTAAGTCTTTAATCTATCTTGAGTTGATTTTTGCATATAGTGTAAGGAAGTGTTCCAGCTTCAGTCTTCTGCATATGGCTAACCAGTTATCCCAGCACCATTTATTTAATAGGGAATGCCCCATTGCTTGTTTTTGTCAGATTTATTGAAGAACAGATGACCATAGGTGTGCAGCCTTATTTCTGGTCTCTATTCTGTTTCATTAGTCTAAATGCCTGTTTTTATACCAGTACCATGCTGTTTCAGTTACTGCAGCTTTGTAGTATAGTTTGAAGTCAAGTAACATGATGCCCCAGCTTTGTTATTTTTGCTTGGAATTGCATTGGCTATTCAGGCTCTTTTTTGATTCCATATGAATTTTAAAATTGTTTTTTCTAGTTCTGTGAAGAATGTCATTGGTAGTTTGATAGGAATAGCACTGAATCTGTACATTGCTTTGGGAAGTATGACCACTTTAATGATATTGATTATTCATACTCATGAGCATGGGATGTTTTTCCATTTGTTTGTGTCTTCTCTGGTTTCTTTGAGCAGTGTTTTGTAATTCTTATTGCAGAGATCTTTCACCACCATTGTTAGCTATATTCCCAGGTATTTTATTCATTTTGTGGCAATTGTGAATGGGATTGCCTTTCTGATTTGGCTCTCAGCTTGGATGTTGTTGGTGTATAGAAATGCTAGTGATTTTTGTACTTTGATTTTGTATCCTGAAACTTTGCTGAATTTGTTTATCAGCAGAAAGAGCTTTTGGACTGAGACTACGGGGTTTTCTAGATACAGAATCATGTCATCTGCACACTGAGATAGTTTGACTTCCTTTCTTCCTATTTGGATGTTTTTTATTTCTTTCTCTGGCCTGATTGCTCTGGCTAAGACTTTCAGTACTACGTTGAATAGAAATGGTGAGAGAGAGCATCCTTGGCCTTTGCCAGTTATCAAGGGGAGTGCTTCCAGTTTTGCCCATTTAGTATGATGTTGGCTGTGAGTTTTTCATAGATGGTTCTTATTTTGAGGTATGTTCCTTCAATACCTAATTTACTGAGAGTTTTTAACATGAATGGGGTGTTGAATTTTATTGAAAGTCTTTTCTGTGTCTATTGAGATAATCATGTGTTTTTGTTGTTAGTTCTGTCATGTGTTGAGTTTCATTTCTTGATTTGCATATGTTGAACCAAACTTGCAACACAGGAATGAAGCCTACTTGGTCATGATGGGTTATCTTTCTGATGTGCTGCTGGATTTGGTTTGCAAGTATTTTGTTGAGGATTTTTGCATCGAGATTCATCAAGGATATTGATCTGAACTTTTCTTTTATTGTTAGAGATAACATATTTTTATCAGGCTATTCTCCTTGAACTATAGGACAATACAGAACCTGAAGCAATGGCACTGATTTTTCAATTCAGACATCTTATTAATATATGTAAATTCAACATAGCTGTGATTCTCTTCTGGTCAGTGTTCCATGTTATCAGAAAAATGAAGATCCATTCTGATGATTTGAGAGGGCTTCTCCAGATCAACTTCAGGAAACAGATGTATGACCTCCCTGCTCAAATATGGACTGCCCTTACCACTGATATCTTTTTAGCATGCTTTTAGTTGGGTTTGTAATGGGCTGAGAATAAAAGCCAATTTTTTTTAATTAGACTTAAGTCAATGAAAAGATAATGATTTTATGTGTGTGTGTGTGTGTGTGGGGCATAGCCTAGAAGAATGGAAGGGTGTCCCCCACCAGGGAACCTTTGCCTAGGAGCCCCCTAGAAGTGTTTACCCCAGGGTAGAGAGAGCTTGAAGCAGAAATGATCACAAGCCCCTGGGTGATGTTTCACTGGAGGTAAAGTACTGAGTTCCACAAAGTGGCTGCTCCTCATGTCCCTACTGACCCCACCTCTCCTAGACTCACACCCAAGACCTAGTGAAAACAGACTGAATTTTAAATGAGTAATAATCATAAAAATTACATCACTGAAATCTCTTTAAGATGCTGGGAAAAGAGGTACTGCACTTCTAGCTTATTGCACACAAAGGTTGAGTAGGTTTGTCCTGGTTAAGGTGGGTGATGACTGAGAATAAATCCAAAAATTCAGTGGAGGCATTCCTGCGTAGGAACACCAAATACATCTCCTTGGGGTGAAGGGAGTCATGGGCCAAAGACAGAAAGAGGGAAGATGTAAATATCACCTAGAGTCAGGAAGGCTGAGTTTGCAAGCACACATGAGCCAGTTCCTAGATGTTTAGTATTATAATTGGGTATATTTAAGAGAGGGGGTGGAAAAAATCGCAATTATTTATCAGATGGAGACTAAAATTGGAAACAAAAGCTGCTTGATAATTGTTATCTTCTTATATCCATAAACTAGAATATGTGGATTTCACAGAAAAATGATGGCAACAGTAATTACATGATAACCTAGGATTTAAAAAATTAGTACAAAGTGGTTAGAAAGAGACAAACAACAATGCCAGTTACATATTCATGGACACAGTACTTAATGATAGAAGGAATAAATTAAACTAAAACAATATGAAAATAAAGAATTAACAATTTAAGAGACACACAGAGAGAATAATTTCCCATTTGGTTAAACATTTTAGAATAAGACAACAAATGAATCTCAAAACATATCACAATCATTTAAAGGAAATTAAGGTACTCAAGGCAAAATCAAAACTCATGCATTTGCCTTCCCATGACGGTGAGATGTTCTCAGAGGACAGAAAGAAGGAGGATAGAAAACCACTGCACTTCTTGTTCTTCTGCTCAGGACTTCAGCTTTCCTATAATTGGCATAGAAGAGTTCTGTGGAAGATGCTCCACATGCTTTCTTCTCACTGATAGACCGAGTCATTCTCCCCCCTCAAAAACCCACCTTGGACCTCAGAAACTCTCTGAGCCTCTGTCTGTGGAGATTTTGGTAATCTCTAACTCATAGGGTTTGTGTTGGGATTGAGATAAATATAAACCCGCTTACACAATGTTTATGCTATTTCTCATCCTTTTCTCTGTTAAACTTGAGTGTGTCTCTAATATTCTAAGAATTACTTTGTATTCTGAAATTCTCCAAATTGAGAGCCATCCAGGTTGACCATATCTCAACTAAATCAAAACTATAGTGTTGCCTTTTTCACGATATCACATAAGTTGAATCATACTGTTTGTAGTCTTTTTAGATTAGCCTCTTACTTTTCAGTATAAGCATACCTTATAGATATTGTGGCTTCCTTTCCAGACCATTGAAATACAGTATCACAATAAAGTAAGTCACACATATTTTTTGGTTTCCCAGTGCATATAAAAGTTGTGTTTACTTTGTACTGTAGTCTAGTAAGTGTGAAATAGTATTATTTCTACAAAAACAATGTACATTCCTTAATCTAAAAAATACTTTATTGCTGGCTGGGCACGGTGACTCACGCCTGTAATCCCAGCACTTTGGGAGGCCGAGGTGGGTGGATCACCTGAGGTCAGGAGTTTGAGACCAGCCTGGTCAACATAGCAAAACCCCACCTCTACTAAAAATACAAAAACTAGGCAGGTGTGGTGGTGCATGCCCATAATTCCAGCTACTCAGGAGGCTGAGGCAGAAGAATCATTTGAACCTGGGAGGCAGAGGTTGCAGTGAGTTGAAATGGCACCACTGCACTCCAGTCTGGGTGACAGAGCTAGACTCCATCTTAAATAAATAAATAAATAAATAAATAAATAAATACTTCATTGCTAAAAAATACTAACAACCGTCTGAACCTTCAGTGAGTCTTGCTTTCCTCTTGATGGCTGATGACTGATCAGTGTGGTGGTTGCTGAAAGTTGGGGTGGCTGTGGAAATTTTTAAAGCAATAAAATTTGCTGCATGAATTGACACTTGCTTTCATGAAAAATTTCTCTGTAGCACGCAATAATGTTTGATAGCATTTTACCACAGCAGAAAGTTTTCCAAAATGGGAGTCAATCCTCTAAAATCCTGCTACTATTTATGTTAAGTATGTTTATAAAATATTCTGAATCTTTGGCTGTTGTTTCAAAAATATAAAAAGCGTCTTCCCCAGAGGTAGATACAGTTTGAAGAAACCACCTTATTTGCTCATCCATAAGAAGTAATTACTCATATGTTCAAATTTCATCATGAGATTGCAGCAATTCAGTCAAATCTTTAGGCTCAACTTCTAATTCTTCTAGTTCTTTTACTATTTCTGCCACATCTACAGTTACTTAATCCATGGACTAGAATGGATGTTGTATTAGCAGGCATGTAAACAACATTAATCTCCTCTTACATCTCCATCAGAGCTCTTGGCTGATGAGGTACATTGTCAATGTACAGTAATATTTTGAAAAAAACATTTTTTTCTGAGCAGTAGGTCTCAACAGGGGTTTTAAATGTTCAGTAAACCAAATGTGCTATCACCCAGGCTTTGTTATTTCATGAATAGAACACTGGCATAGTAGATTAAGCAAAATTCTTAAGGGCACTGGGATTTTCAGAATGGCAGGTGATCATTGGATTTAACTGAAAGTCACCTTCTGCATTAGCTCCTAACAAGAAGGTCAGCCTGTTCTTTGATGCTTTGAAGCCAGGCATTGACTTCTTGCCTCTAGCTACAAAGTCTTACCTGGCATCTTCTTCCAATAGAAGGCTGTTTCATCTACATGGACAATCTGCTGTTCAGTGCAGCCATCTCCATCAATGATCTTAGCTAGAGCTTCTGGATAATTTGCTGCAGCTTCTACATTAGCACTGGCTGCTTTACCTTGCACTTGTATTTTATGAAGACAGCTTGTTTTCTTAAACCTCATGAACCAACTTCTGCTAGGTTCAAACTTTTCTTCTGCAGCTTCCTCATCTCTCTCAACCTTCACAAAATTGAAAAGGGTAGGGTCTTGTTCTGGATTAGGCTTTGGCTTAAGGGAATGCTGTGACTGGTTTGGTCTTCTTTCCAGACCATTAAACTTTCTCCATATTAGCAAACAATCTTAGGTTTTGCTTTCTCCTTATATATATGTTCACTGGAGTAGCACTTTTAATTTCTTTCAAGAACTTTTCCTTTTTGTTCACACCTTGACAAACTGGCACAAGTGGCCTAGCTTTTAGCCTATCTCAGCTTTCAACATGCCTTCCTCACTAAATAAATTATTTCTATATTGGTTGAATGTAAGAGATGGGGGACATCAGGAGACTCACCCTTTCACTTGAAAACTTAGAGGCTACCTCAGAGTTATTAAACAGCTGATTTCCAATACTGTTGTGTGCCAGAGAATAGGGAGGCCTGAGGAGAAGGATACATACAGAGAATCACCAATCAGTAGTGCAGTCAGAACACACACAAGATTCATCATTTATGTTGGCCATCTTATATGGATGCTGTTTGTAGCACCCAAAATAATTACTATACTAACATCAAAGATCACTGATAAAAGATCACCATAACAGATATAATAATAAGAAGAAAGTTTGAAATATTATGAGAATTACCAAAATGTTACAAGGAGTCATGAATTGAGCACACACTTGAAAATGATGCCAATAGACTTTCTTGATTCAGGGTTGCCTCACTTTTCACAACCTTCAATTTGTGAAAAGTGCAGTGAAGCCAAGCCCAACTACATGAGACATACCTTCATGCATTGCAGATTCAACCATATTTTTGCCTGGCTTGATAGCTCATTTTTTTGAATGAATCAAGTTTTATTTATTGCTGAATAATATTTCACTGTACAGACACTTCACTCTGGCTTCAGTCCTAAACCACACTAACACTGTCTTCCATCCCAGCCTTCACCACCACTAAAGATATTTGGTACATTGTGTTTTATTGTCTGATGTTTTATTGCCTGATGCTATAACAACATGACTTGGCCATACTTGGCCACCACTCCTGGGCACGGATGTAGCTGTGGGAGGAGTGATCCTGAGCATCACTGAGCCTGGCAATGACAAAGCTGTGCACACCATGCTGTCTCTCTCACAGTCTCAGAGTCCCCACCCCGCTTAAGGAGAAAAATATGGGTTAAAATTGGAGAAATTTCCCACCTGACTTTTTCAGCTGAAATGTTTTCATCTCTCCCTTCTGTCTTAGCGTAATTCAGAATTCCACAAAACATATATTCAAGCCTTAAGAGAGAAGATCTGGCTGGGTGGGGTGGCGCACGCCTGTAATCCCAGCACTTTGGGAGGCGGAGGTGGATGGATCACGAGGTCAGGAGATCGAGACCATCCTGGCTAACACTGTGAAACCCCGTCTCTACTAAAAATACAAAAAATTAGCCGGGCATGGTGGCGGGCGCCTGTAGTCCCAGCTACTGGGAAGGCTGAGGCAGGAGAATGGCGTGAACCCAGGAGGCGGAGCTTGCAGTGAGCCAAGACTGCGCCATTGCTCTCCAGCCTGGGTGACAGAGCAAGACTCTGTCTCAAAAAAAAAAAAAAAAAAAAAAAAAAGAAAAGAAAAGAAAAAGAGAGAGAGAGAGAGAGAAGATCTGGGCCCAACATACCAAGTGACTTTGTCTCACTCCAACAGGGAAATGTCAGAGATCAACTCTGGTAAGCAGAGTCCAGACTCCAGTGAAGCCTAGGAAGTCAAGAGGCTGTCCTCCATTCTCTTCTTCTTTAACCACCTCTGCTTCCCCATGAAGTCCCCTTGCATGTGGGTCTAACGGGATTGTCATGGCTTCAACTCTGGCCCTGGCTGTACCTGACCCTGGAGCTATGGCCTCCATTACCGTCTGACTGACTTAGACCCATTGTCTCAATTCCCAATATCCATGTGTAGCAGACACCATCTGAAGTGTCTCTCCTGCTTCTAGGGTCTGAATTTGCCCTGTGTTATACAGACATGGGCATCAACAGTCATGTGTAGAATCCCACTCTTTTTGATTAGGACAGGGCAGTCCCTGGACCCAAGCAGAACTCAACATGCTCTCTTTCTTGACAATTTTGTGATTTAAATTGAGATTAAGAACTTGGAGCTGGCACTGAATGATACCAAAGGAAGTGCTCTAGACTAAGAGTTATTTTAAAATTGTGGTATACAACTCATTAGTAAATCATAAAAATTATAACTGATTACTAGCACTTTAAAAAATAAAATAAATACTATCAGAATAGATTGCAGTGCACTGCAGATAGTAAGGGTAAATATTGTTTTGCAAAAGTTTTATTTCAATTGTGTATATGTGCATTCTAGGTGAAATATAAAGTGTAGTTCTTACCATGGGTCATATCAAAAAGGGTAGGATGATCCTGTTCTTGAGGAAATTTCCATAATCTCTGGCTATTCTTTTTCTCAAATCCTAATTGTACAATAGTTGTTTTGTGGGCAGATGGAGGGCAGTATGAGGGGACAGGTAATTAAGCTTGCTTTGATTCTATTATGAAACAAAGTAACCTTAACTAATACATTGGAAAAGAGATGTATTAGTCCGTTTTTATGCTGCTGATAAAGACATAACTGAGACTGAATAATTTATACAGGAAAAAGTATTCCATTGACTTACAGTTCCACACGGCTGGGGAGGCCTCACAATCATGGCGGAAGGCAAGGAGGAGCAAGTCACATCTTATGTGGATGGCAGCAGGCAAGGAGAGAGAACTTGTGCAGGGGAACTCCTCTTTTTAAAACCATCAGATCTTATGAGACTTATTCACTATCACAAGAACAGCAAGGGAAAGGCTTACCCCTATGATTCAATTGCTTCCCAACAGGTTCCTCCCACAACACATGGGAATTCAAGATGAGACTTGGGTGGGGACACAGCCATACCATATCAAGAGGTGACATGTGAATGGACAGGATGTACTGGGGTTATGTGTAACTAGTTCCGACCAGTTCCATGGAGCTATTTTCTGATCAGAAAGAAGCATAATTTGATGATGTGGAAGTAACTAAAAGTTAGAAGAAAAGAACCTAGTTCTCCTGGAATATGTAAACCCAGGACACACCTCTCAAGATTTTCCTGGATTCTCTCTCTAAAAACCTAGGCTTCTATTTTATACTGGGATTCTGTTTGCATTCAGTACAGGAGTGGATGTAGGATGATCATGGCCAGCAAAGGTCTAGAATTGACACCAATTGGTATAACTCCTTAAGTAAAAATTCTCCCATCTCTGGAAATGGTCTAAATACAGAGGTAGGGTCCCTTGTATGTGTTTGCACCAGGTCACCCTGACTCGTTGGTCATGATGAAGTCACTGGTGGGTGAGCCACTTACCAGTAGTAGCTCTTCCTTCAAATTTTCCAACTGAAACTAACAGATGCAAGTCACCCAAGGGAATGGCAGGAGATTCGGTAATTATAAGCAACTGCATTTCTCACAACCTGAAGGAAGCCAGTTTGTGGTAGATGATGATAAAGAAATAAGTTAAGGGACAGAGACTGGACCCTGGCAACATGCAAATCTCTGGTTCCAGTTGGCCTGTGAATCAGTTGCATACCTGACCTTCCCACAATTATATGAACAATACCCTGAGACTCCTGCAATAAATGGCATTCATACCTAAGCTCGAATGGTCATCTTCTACCATTTTCACACATAACATTGCCACTGCTGTACTGTTACTAGGTAGCCTCAGAATTTCTTTAAGGCTGACAAGATATAATTGCTTTGAGGAACAAACTCTGACCAAAAATATAAGTTTTATTACAGAATAGCATTTTCTTGGGAGATTCTAAGTCCCCCAAAGAAGATTTTTCATGGACCTTTAATAAGAAAGGTAATTGAAGTTGAGACTTGAGACTCTGCCACTTCAATTTTTTTTTTTTAATTGTACGGCCAGGCATGGTGGCTCACACCTGTAATCCCAACACCTTGGGAGGCTGAAGTGGGCAGATCAAGAGGTCAGGAGATCGAGACCATCCTGGCCAACATGGTGAAACCCCGTCTCTACTAAAAATACAAAGATTAGCCAGGTGTGGTGGCGCATGCCTGTAGTCCCAGCTACTCAGGCGGCTGAAGCAGGAGAATCAGTTGAACCTAGGAGGCAGAGGTTGCAGTGAGCTGAGATTGTGCCACTGCACTCCAGCATGGCAACAGAGCAAGACTCTGTCAAAAAAAAAAAAATTACTATATTATGGTGGCCTGTCCAATGCCTTTCTAAAAATAAATGAGGAAATCTCAAAGACTTACATCAAAGCAAGGTAACAAAAGAAATTCCAAATAATTGGCAATCTGAGGTGTTATGCAGGATATTAGGTTGCTATTTCCAAAGAAACACTTTGGAAATAAGGAACCTGAGGTCCTAAGATGGTAAGCAACATCTTTGAGGACAGTCAGGTGCCAAATGGTTGATGTGAGAGTGGGAAGCAGGCCTGTTTAAAACCAAAGCACGGGCTTCTTTCTCCAAACCACTCCCACACTTCTGCCTGCAAGACAACCTCACCGAGACAGGTTCCTGAGTTCTCTATGCACACTTCGGTGTCACTTAACCTAAAAGCTAAGGTATTGCTGGCTGACATAGAATCTTCTTGGGGACGATAACTTTTATTGCTGTCGGTAGTGATTGGACCCCAGACTCCAGTGATTGGAACTGGAGCTGTTCATAATGACTCCCGGTTAGAACCATCAGTGTGTGATGAGGCGTTTAATTTATGTTGTGAATCAGGGAGCAAACCAAGGAATATCTACATGGTTCTTTCCAAGCCTACAGCACTTCCTGGCCCTACTAAGTACTCCCTGCCCTGCCAAATGTTTCCATAGAAACAGATGCCTGTTGCTATGAAAAGGCCAGTTCAGTTCTGACTGATCTACAGAAGGAATCCCCTGGTGCCTAGAGTCATCAAGAGAAACACAGACTTCTGGGAGTCGCTCCTGGAAAGCAGCTGAGTTGGGTGTTGGAGTATAGTGGAGTCAGGAGGAGGAATCCTAAATTAAAGAGGTGATGAATTTGATTCAATAACAGTTGTGCTGCCAACCTTGAGGAAGGCTGAGTGTATGCTCCTCCAATTTCCTGGTGGCTAGGGCTCTTGCAGGTGTGTCCTGGAACCTTGGCTTCTGGTTTCCACTGTGTTTCCCACCTCTCACCCTCGTAATCTCCATGCTGAGTGCGTGCTCTCTCTGCATGTTCCATCCATCTGGCACAAGGAACCATCACAGGAGCAACCCATATGCTACACTCCCCACATTGTTCACCTCCTTATGCCCAGATTTCACTGCCACAGGGATGCTTTCCTGTCAAACAAAGAGATTATGAGCTCTGGCGTCAGACAGCCCTGGGTTCTATCTAGAGCTGTTTCACAGAGTGGTTGGAAGGAAAAGCGAAGAAGTTGCTCCGAAGAAAGATACGGCGCGGTAGGGGTTAGGGACTGAAGGGAAGTGGCCCTATTTGAGTTAAGAGTGAGCAGAATTGAGTAGGGCCTTCTCTCCAGAGACTCTACATTGTCCCCTATCCTCTGGTCGCCTGCTGAATTTCTTATCCATGTCTGAGCTGTAATTCCCAGGACCCCTGTAGCCCTACCTTACCTCTCCCAGAAAACTGGGGGCCCTTAGATGCCACTGTTAGATTACTTGGGCTTTGAATCCTTCCCTAAGGCTTACCATTAACCAGCCTTCCAACCACAGCAGCATTCTACACTCTGGCCCCACGAACCCTCTGTGCTGATGTGTCCAAATATCATTGCTCTCTCACCCTCCAGGTCTCAACCTCACACAGACAGCCTCTCCTTGGGGCCACTTAGGAGCTTGATTGAGTCCCTAGTCTATGAGTCATGAGTCTTTATGAATCATAGACGGCATCTAGCTCCTCCTGGAACTGGAGCCAGCCTCAGATAGTTTAAGAGAAAGGGCACATAAGAGCCAGCTTCCTGGTGTCCCATCCTGGTGAGCACTGGCCCCGGGGAGTTGCACAGAAATGGCTGTCACAGCAACTGATGCTCCGAAACAAGGTCCCAGGCCTCTCTACTTTCTTGTGTGCTGGCTCTGCCTCTTTGTCATCTCTCTTTCTTTTGTTTTCTTCTCTTTAACTCTCCCTCTCTTTTCTCTCCCTCCTGCCATCTTTCCCTTTCCCTTTCTCATTTTTTCCCATATTGCCACCTTCCCCTGCCTCTTTCTCTCCTTGGCTTTGGGTCTTTCTGGCTCTCTCCTTTCTTCATCTCTTGAAGCTGTGGCCTCTTCCCCCAAGAAGGCTGGAAGAAGCCTAGAGAGCCCCACCTGCTCACGGCCCTCCCACTCAACATTCACACTCCAGAGAAGACACGAGCTCATCCTCAGCGCATGCTTTGTGCTCCAGGGAACCACGGATATCCCTGTGCCCAGGGAAGCCCTGTGACCCCGGGTCCCAGCACAGTCCGCTAGAGATGCTCTCTGCACGGCTGAGATTGGCCCTGCCTGGGAAGGCTGTGTAATGGCAGCCTGGTCCGCAGGAGGAGTCTGAGGAGGGGACTATACCAACTGCTAGCTTCCTTGCCCTCCATGTCATTCCCACCACTTACCGCTTATCACCACGCTTTGCAGGTGCTGCCACACAGGGTCTATCACTTCCTCTGCTCTTTTCTGTAGCCAACTGTATTGGGAGGGTCACCTCCCTGCAAGCAAAGCTAGAGCTATTTATAGTCTCATTCCCAAAAGGCTCCAGGGAAAGCTGTGATCCTGGAAGTGGACAGTGTAATTACTTACATGGGACCACCCACACAGCAACCCCAGAGCATGGCTCTTAGCTCTCCCTCTGACATGTAATTGATACATAGGCTTTTTCTTCTATCTGCTGAATTGAAGTTGAAGGACAAGACCTTCTGCCAGCACTAACCATGAGAAGCCCTGGAGGGAAAGGCTGGCCCCTCTCTGGGTTGGGGTATTGCTAATAATTTTTCCCTCAGCTACAGGGGCAACATCTGGGCTCCAGCCAAGCCCACCCTGGGGCCAGGATTGCTCTGGCATCAGTCCCGCCTTGCCTGACTTTCTAGTCAGGCGCTCCCTAGCAGTAGCAATATCAAAGGGGAAAGTGATATGATAGGATCCCTTCAAAGTCCCAGTGTTCTGTTGCACAGCAGGGGGACTGTGGTTAACAATACTGTATGGCATATTTCAAAATAGCTAGAAGAGAGGATTTTGAACATTCTCACCATAAGGAAAGAATCCAAATTTGAGACGATGGATATGTTAAAAATCCTGCTTTGGTCGTTACACAATGTATACATATATGGAAACATCACACTGTATCCCATAAATATGTATGGTTATTTATGTCAATTTAAACAAAATTTTAAAGAGCAACTTCTCAGGATGTGAAAATCCAGTGGGGAAGGATTGAAGCAAGTCCAAAACAGAGCCTCCTCCCAACTCCCAACCCAGATCCTTCTACTGTAAGGCATCTCCCTGCAGCCTCAGATGGTATACCTTTAAAGCCCCTAAGATAACTGTGGACATGTGTACATACATTTATGTGCACGCATCTATTTGTGGGTACTTGTTAAAGGATTTCTAGGATTCAATTAGATCAAAGATGTAAAGCACTCACCACAGGGCTTGGAGTAATAATTTGTCATCTTCCTTGTTTACTTTGAGCTCTTCTATAGAAGTTAGAAAAGGGTCACCTTATAAACATCTTTTCCTGTCTTATAATTATTGTCATTATCTAAATTACCAGAATAGGTTGAAATAAAGAGTATTTTATCTCCCTGTTTCCCAACACTAGAGGAGACCAGCAGAACGGAAATAATTAGAGTAGAAAAATTATTTCTCATTCAGTAAGATAGCTGTATCCTCTCCAGCCTCTTTTATTTTTTAAGTTGCTGCACCAGAAAAAATGTTTTATAGGATTTTATGTGGGAGGGAAATAATAGAAAATTTCTATAGAAATCGTTGACAAGCTTATTTTGTTTGTTCCAACAGGCAGGCAGTTTTCCTGTCAGATACCATGGAGAGTGAATACTTTGAATATTTTCCTTTGGATATTGTGAGCAATTTTCAACAGCAATTATTTAAAATATTTATGAAAAAAACTGGATAAGTCTGTCATCTGAAAAACATGTAGGTAGGTATCAAAATGTCTGTTTCTGGAGATTGAGTCTCATACCAGAAAAATCCCCCAAAACAATTGGATGGCCTGCATCAAAGCTATTTAAAAAATCCAGATAGAAAGTGCTCCAGGAATATCTAAGTAAGGAGAATAGGAGAAGAGCCAAGAGAGGAGGAGAAAGGGAAAATGAGGAAGAAGTAGAAGGAGAAAGAAAGAGAAAGACCTAGAGAGACAGGGAGACGTAGTTGGCCACACACAGCAAGAGACCAGTGATGACAGTGAGGCAGACATTGGGGCCATGGGGAGTTGTGTGAGCTACAGAATGCCTGGCTCTGCTCTGAACAAGACCTGGAGGTCTTTACGTTTCTAACTGCCCGGGAGGGTGAATGTCAACAGACTTTTGCAGAAGAACAATGAGCTGAGAGTGAGTCTGAATCATTTGCCTTCCATGTGTCATCCAATCACAGCTGCTAACACCTGCAGTGGCTCTGCAACCATGAGCTGGGAATAATACAAAGTCATGTTCTCACCATACTTGCCCAGAGGACCTGGGCCTGGATGGAAGAGCTTCATTGTAGGAGAAGGTTATTGACAGATGAGAAGTATTTATCCAATATGTCTTTGTTCTATGACTCTTATCAGCCCAGCTAGAGGGAAGCCTTGAACAACCAGTCTCCTGTTCCTGGGCTCATATCTTTTTCTAAGCAATATGGCCTTCCCAGTGACAGCATCATCATCCTTCTTCATCACCACCACTATCATCATCCTCATCACCATCATTATCCCCATCATCAGAGCAGCTACTCGTTATTGAGCATTTACTATGTGCTGGATATATACATATATATATATATAATCTGGAAAATAACTGTGTGAGGGAGGCCCTATATACATCCCAGTTTTGCAGTTTTGCATAACGCAGGCTCAAAAAGTTAAGTAACTTTCCCAAGAACAAACAGCTGCTATATCAGAAGCAAGGCTCATATCCATAGCTTTTCTAGTCCAAAGACTCTAGAACAAGCTAAATAAAATGAACAAATGGGGTCTTCTATATCAGTTTGTCCATGACTCTCCACCACTGCTGCACCCCACCTATTTCAGATCCAGGGACATTGCCAAGTGACAATGGGGGCTCCTTCCCTAAGAGATTGATTGGCTTATAGAAAAGTTTGAATGAATCCAATTCTATTGTATATGAATGTTCTTCACATTAGGAGTCCATGTACTTTCTCATCCCCTAATTTACCTGTACCCTCATCCATTTGGCAAATAGTTATGGAGTGTCTATTTTGTGTCTGACACTATTTTAGGTGTTAAGAATAGGGTGTGAACAAAACATACCAAGCTTATACTTTAGAGAAGGGAGATCAATATGTAATATGAAAACAGAAATAATTCTATGAAGAACAAAAAATGTAAGAGTATAGAAAGCAATGGGAGGTGGTGAGGGTGAGCGACAGCTCTCTGATGAACAGAAGCCTGAACACAGTGAGGGCTGAGCTATGAGTGTATGTGAGAGAGGTTCAGTGCTGGCTTAAAGAAGAGCAAGTGCAAAGCCCCCAGCCTAACAAGAGCATCCCTGGTGTGCTGCAGGAACAGTGAGGGCACCAATATTGCTGGTGAAAAGATGAAGTCAAAGCAGGCACCAGATAATTTAAGACTTTGGAGGGTCTGATGCGGATTTGGAATTTTAGTTTGCCATATCAAGTTATTGGATAAGAGAGCCATGTTTAGATTTACATATGACAACAATCTCCCTGGCTCCAGCAAGAATGCTGTGTAAAGGACTCACTCTGGAGACTAAACTGTATGTGAAATTTAGGACTCCTCTGGCCACGACTGGGTAACAAGCCATGGAGACTTGGAGTAGATGGTGGTAGAGGATAGGGGAGCAGTTGTCAAACTCTGGAAATCCTCTGATCAGTTGGATGTGCAGAGTGAGAGAAAAGAGAAAAATGAAGGATTACTTCCAGTGAGGCATGAGACAGCCATAGAGTGCAATATCCCAGAAACCAGGGGAAGATAGGCATCAAGGAAGGAGGCACTGAAACTTTCTCAGTGCTGTTAAAAGCTGAGGCCTAGTCCCTTTGCCCAGCTGCTGAAATCCTAGCTAAGCAATAGGAGCCATGTGACAGGCTAAGTGAGAAATGGAGGAGTTTCTGCGACCAGGACGTCCTGACATCATGTCTTTGAGCTTGACTGAAAAAAATGTCAATGCTGAGAGACATCAAGGCCATCAATAGCCCATAACAAAATTCTCAAGGCCTTGGATAACTCTCAGGGGATACACTCCTCCCAGAGAAAAAAGTATGGCTGTATGCCTCATGACTAGTGGGACATCACCACAGATCCAGTGGTCAGAATGGACCACTGAATCTATTTTCACTCCAAGGTGCTTTGAGTGTCAGAATACAAGAAAATCTTGTTGTTATTTAGAAATACTGTTGTTTATTAAGAGGCTCACATGCAGTTGGAAAAGTGGGCCAAGTCTAAAATCTAGAACACACTGCCTGGTCATGAGCCCAGCCCCAGGTGGGTCACCTGGGCTCTGCATGTTTCTGGGCAGAGTTAACCAACTTTAGCATAGATGGCTAGGACCCACAACTGGCCATAATATGATACGGATAACTGTATATTCCTGTTCCTGATTTTAGCTTTTCCTTGAGTAAGTTTCTTGGTTCTAAACTAACCAGAGCATGACATTCAATGGAAATTCTCAAGAATACAATTCTGCTCAAGATGATCTCATTTCAAAATATTATCACCACTTGCAGAGAGTTGATGGGTGGGAGAGAGTGGGGAGCTTGCTTTATTAGAAACTAGACCTGACCCACCTTGAACTATGACAAGTGAAGCCTGGCTGAGTGTCTGTCAATTGGAGTCCAACCAATCCCTGTGCTGCAGAGCCCCTATCTGGCAGACACTGTCAGCCTCATAGGACATCTAAGATGTGTCTCTTCCTACAACACAGAGGCCAGCTGCCTTACTTTCTGTCTTCTGTCTCATAAAGCTATTTTTGTTCTCAGCTGGTAGAACTCAGTGACTTTCAGTTTCCCTAAAAATTCCACTCACACAAAAGAATTTGTAAACTAGATGGATTTGCCTGAAGCTGTCCTGGAGGAGGGAAGAGGTTTTTATCATATACCTTACACCAAAGAGCTTTGAAAGCTCTCCTGGATATTTCTGTTTTCCCAAGTTTTTGACTTCCTCTAACTTTAAATTCACACCCTGCTGCCTCCACTCCACCCCAGCTACCCTTTCCCAGACCCCAGGCTCCTATCTCTTCCTCGATCCCATCTTATCTTATACATAACAGCTTAGCAGCCATCTCTTTTTAGGTAATTTGAACATGTTCTTGGAGAGTTCAACCCCCAAATCAAAAGATGTCCTTTTATCCCATTATAACCCCAAACTATTTTGCTGATGTTTTCTTCCATTTCTGAGTCTTTGTGCTCACCAATATTCAGACCTATGTTCTGAACAACATCATCTTTATCTTTTCCCAGAATCCTGCCCTTTGAGGCAATCAATATCTCTGACAATTGTTAAGGCTATTTGGAGTGCAATCTTGCACAATAATAAAAACAGCCACTATGCATTGAGCATTCGCTGTGTGCTAGGCACTCTGCTAATCACTTGTACTATATCATGTTTTGTAATCTGCATAACAGCTGTAGGAATGTAGCTATTATCACTCCACTCTGTAGCTGAAGGAGCTGGGGTCATATCGGTAATAAGACACAGAGCCTACTGTGGCCTAAGCGTGCTGTTACTGGAAAGATAAGAATCAAAGGTACATGCCCTTCTGTCCAGAAGAGTCCTCTCACCCCTAGGAGGCCAGGAAACATCACTCCCTGCCCTGATATTCAGGGAACAGGAAAAAGGCAGGAAAGAGGCCTTTGCTCCTGGGTTCTATGTAGTGAAGCAAATTTCTTATTTTTTGAGCCAGGTTGCTTTCTTTTTTAATCATAGACTAGGGGTACTGTGTGTTCCATGAACAATCATCTTACTGACATGTTATTCTGAAGCTTGACTTCATTCACCGTGACACATGCTGGTTATGAAATACGCAACGGAATAGAGTTGTAATGAAGTGAGGCTGGGGAAGGATTAAATTAGAATCTGAACTAATGCCAGCTAAGAGACCCTACCTCCACTTTATTATTATTATTGTGTTTAATAAACAATCATTCATGCTCCGAGGAAAGGGAAACAATCAGAAACCCAGCAGGGGAGCCATAAAATAAATGTTTAAACCTTGAATAAAAACATGTTTGTTCAAACCCAGAGCCGGTCTCTTTTTATTCAAAATGAATGCAGTGAGTTCTCCAACACCTAGAGGTGTTGAGAGGCATGCAAGTGGAATTTCAGTTGCAGGGAGGGCTCACCTTTCCCATCCTCCCAGCCTAGTCCAGCCACTGAAGGGAAGATGTTCTGGACTTTAAGGAGGTAGTTGGTGCATCAGTCCAACACGCTTACCACCTGATGAATTGAATTGAAAGAGGGCTCTTCTCTCTCTCACAAGTACTTGGATATACTCTGATTCTCCATGAGGAAAATGTGCAAAATTCATCTGGAACTAAGGAGATTAACCACATGCAGGAGCACCTCAAAAATTAGATGTCACCTCAACTAAAGAAGGCAGAGATGGGCTGTGACATCAAAGCTAAATATAACTGAAAGTTAAGCTTTTATTGTTGAGATATTATTATATCGGAGAGAAATTGTGTGGACGAGAAGATGTCTGTCAGCCTAGAAGACAGATCAGGGGAAATCATGAGCAATGATGTGTTGCTTTTTCTCAGCATTGCTTGCTATGTGGACAGATGGGGTCTTGCCTGCAAGCTGTCTTTGGCCACTTGAGAGATTGTTTCTCCTGTGGGTAAGTGACGTGGAGGCAGACCTAACCAGAGATCAATCCGTGGCTCTTTTCCACCCACATCTGGGAGGTGGCTGTATCAATCAGGGTCCCAGGAGTACATAGCACACTCAAACTAGGATAATTCTAAGAGGTGTTATGAAGTGACTGTTTACAAAGGTGAGGGCAGGGTGTGAGGAAATCACAGTAGACTATTAATATTGCCTCCCCTCCCAGGATTCAAGGGGCAAGGAAAGGCAGCATCCACAAGAACTTAGGTGGAAAGAGAAGCGTGGAGAGACACAGCCTGGGAAGAGCTGCAATCTTCCAACTGGAAACGTAGCTGATTGCATGCAACCTGGCAAGGAGGGAGTGAAAGAAATAACTTCCCCAACCATATCCTCCTTTCTCTCTTTGACCACTTGCTGGTGTTCCCCTTTGTGCCACCCCAGCCAGAAGCCAGAGGCAAAGAGAGCACCTTGACAAACTCCCTATAGATCATCATCTTGGGGTAGAGAAGCAGAAGAGGGAATTTAGAGGGACAATTGTAAGGTGTCTAGTCTAGGGCCATGGCAGAGAAGTCACATGGCACATGTTTTAAAGTTAACCCAAGCCTACATTTCAGTGTTGGCCCTGCCATTTGAGCCACTAGACCTTAAGTGAGTTATTTCCCTTCTCTAAGTATCATTTATTCCATCAGTGAAGTGACACCAGTATCATCCACCTTGAGGGGCTGCTATGAGGATTGCAGGTTGTGCCCTGTCTCACATCCTCTCAGATTACTTTTTTGATCTGGTTATTGATGCAGCCACTGGTTGCACAGAGCAGCAGCTTCAGAGCACCTCGGCTCAGCTGCACCAAGCATCACCTGCATCCTGTCCTTGATCTTCCGTGCCCCTTGCTGTGGGATGCCTTACAGGAGTCTAATCAGCCATTTTGGCACATGCACACACCTAGAA
The DNA here is from genome assembly GCF_000001405.40 of Homo sapiens. Taxonomy (NCBI): domain Eukaryota; kingdom Metazoa; phylum Chordata; class Mammalia; order Primates; family Hominidae; genus Homo; species Homo sapiens. The sequence goes on along the minus strand of NC_000010.11, from coordinate 84,900,634 downwards.
GCTAGAAAGAGTTAATACCCCTGGAGTAACATATGACCAATGGTGGACAGAAATCAGAAAATGAACATGTCTAAGTCATAGGCAGACATTCTGAAGTGCCTATTCAGAGTCTCCAGCGGGATTGATGCCCAGTTGTCTACTACAAAAACCAGCCCAATAACACATCCTTGGCATGTCTTCCTTTCTCCACTATTTTATTTTTTCCAGCCCCCTCACTCCTATCTCCTGGGTCACATCCAAAATAACTGCATACAAGCTCTGGTCCCAGGCCCTGCTTTTAGGGAAACCCAACCTAAGATTAAGATAAATGTTTGTGGATGCAGCTGGAGACCATTATCCTAAGCGAATTAACACAGAAACAGCAAAACAAATACCACATGTTCTCACTTATAAGTAGGAGCTAAACATTGGTACTCATGGACATAAAGATGCCAACAATAGATGCTGGGAACTACTAGAGGGTGAAGGGAGAAGGGGCAAGGATTTAAAAGTTATCTGTTGGGTACTGTGCTCACTATCTGGGTGATAGGATCCATACCCCAAACCGTAGCATCACACAATATAGTCATGTAACAAACCTGTGCATGTACCCCATGAATCTAAAATAAAATAAAATTTGAAGTTATTTTTTAAAAGATAAATATTTGTATTGAGCACACAGTGGGCACTCCATAAATGGTGGTTCTTTGGATTATTTTGATGATTCTTAATTGCTCATAGGGTCCCATGATATTTGATGGGGAGGGATCTAGGTGGGAGGAATGAATACTCATCACAACACAAAGTAATTCGGCACCTGGTTTACATGTTGGTGTTTGATGAGATTGGTTATTGTAAGTCTCAAGACTAATTATCTACAGGAGCCCAGACAATGTTCTGAGAATTCAGCTGAGCCATAGAAGGCCCATGAGGTCCATTTCCTCCTAAGGCCTAGTTAAGCTGCTGGTTCTCCATAACCTAACGTCACAACCAGTGCTCCTGTTTGTCTAGTTCTAGGAGAAGACACCTGCCTCTGGAGAAAACAAAATCCCCATTCCAGAGAGTTCCCCCAGCCAGCCCCAGGGTTCTGGAAGTCCCTCAGTCTCCTCAGTTGCCAGGTTACAGGAGGTTAGCTTTCTCTGCATGAGCCAGCAGTGCAAAGTCAGAGCCATTCTCAGAATAATGCATGGCTTTGTAAAACTTGCATCAACTTTATGAATGCCTTCAGGGTGGCACTGCCTTTAAAGGAGCCTGGATCTGGTATCTAATTATGACAAGGGTCAGAGCACAAACTTTTACCGAGGGCCTCCTGTGTGCCAAGTACTGCACAATGTACTTTGCATGATTTATTTCATTTAAACCCTACAACAAACCTCTGTGGTAAGAAGCACTGTTCCCATTTCACAGAGCAGTGAGGCTCAGAGAAGTGACATAACTTGCTCACATAGCTAAGCGGCAGATGTAAGATCTGAACACAACTCCATGTGACTCCAAAAGCAATACCTCTTCCCCTGTTCAGAGTGAGAACAGTCATACAAATAGCCAGCAGTGTTTCCATCAAGTATTTCCAAAGGATGCTTTGGAAATAGTAGAAAGGGAAAAATAAATAAATAAACAAAGGCTTTATTTATCCTCACTTAAGGATGCCCAATCCTCTTCTTGTTTTACTTCTATAAAGAAAAACAGACAGAGCAGTTCAAACAGCAGAAAGGCTAGGAAAAAGGAGCTCCCAGGCTTCTGTGCCATCTGCAATGTTGATCTGGAGAAGTCAGTTCCCAGGTCTCCCTTGACCTGTAGGCTACTGTAGGAACTTAAATGTCAGCATGGCAAGTACACCCACACCATCTGAAGAGACACCCAGACCCTGATTTCCAGCCAGCAAAAGTTGGTGAATTGCTCTAATGGCAGGTGCCCTTCAGACCTCTTTCTCTTCATTAGTGGGAGGCCCGGTGTGACACTATTAAAGGACCGCGCAACTGCTTTTTTTCACTGGCAATGCACACTGCAGCCCATATTTTTCCATTCTCATTTTATCTCATAAATCACAGCAAGTACTATGATTTGGAAGCAGTGTATAGCATAAACTAAACATTTATGTGCCATCAGTTTATTCATAAAACCTTTACTAATTACTAATGAAGCCAATAAATTTGATATTGGGATGCTTTGCACAGCAACCATTACCAAGCCAAAAAAATAAAAATAAAAACATATATTTTCCAATGCACAATTTCCAGAAAAGTGTGAGGTAGCCAGCAATGTCCATTAACAGTCGGCCACTCTGCAGACTTTCCACCCCAGCTTTGTGAACCACGTAGATGGAGAGGCCATCACAAGATGTTTAATGCTTCCACCAGGGATTCACAATTCCATTGGGTTTCAATGCTGTGGGCTTTGGGCCCCACCCATGTGACACCAAAAATTGTATTTTTAAAGAAGGGCATCCTTCAGGGCTTTGGTGTGACCATAAAAGCAGTAAAAAAGCAATGCAGGAAAAAAGCTTTAATAATTTTGGTTTTCTAGAAATAATAAAGCATGGTTCCATTGGCTCTTCTGAGAGTAGCTGACTTTAAATACCTCGTGATTTTATAATTCGGAATAATTTAACAGTCATCATTCTCAAATATCTCTTTTCCTCTTGGCCCCCTACAAGGCATTACTTCATGGTTATTGAGACTGCAAGCTTAGCTGAACACTCATTTTGAATCATATTGTCTCAGAATCTCCATTTGAATCATCCTTCATACTTTAGCATCATGATTTTGCCTGATGTTAACAGCTGCCACAAGAAGGAGCAATAGAGATGTTAGTACATTTAGTAAAGTTTTTGTTGAAGACAGTATAAGTCCACCATTTTATACCTCCTACATAGAAAATGAAGTTATTTACTATATTTTTCTTTTTATCTTGGACTCTAGGAAATTTAGAAATGAATATCCACCTCATCAGTCATAAATATCTGAGATTCTTCAGTACTTCTGAATTCTAATGCTTTCAACTCCATCCCCTACCCAAGGACCTCAACATTGTGTCCAGATTTAAATTTCCCCTGGCTCTGGTATTTAATTCCTTACAGTAAGTCAATTTTATTTTATATATATTTGAAAACTATCTCTTATGCTTTGTAGCATTAAGTAAACAAATATTTTCTAATGAATACTTATATTGCTTTCTGCTTGTAACTACAGCTGATTGAATTAGTTTCCAACTAACTTCTATGTTCCTTTCAGCACTTCAAATAACTTAACATCGAGGACTCAGAATTAGACTCTGCTTTATGTTGGAAAGCAAAACCACACCTGAGTAGGTTAATGAACTTGAAGAAAATCAATAAACCTGGAGATTGTTCCATTATTAAGGTTCCATTTAAAGTTCCAATTTCACCGCAGGGAATGTGGGAAAGGCAGGGAGGTTTAGGTGTTCTGATTCACAGCAAAATAGTCTCTTTGCTTACTATATTTCTTTTTCTGTGCCACTGTCAGTTTTAGAGGATTACATAAAATTTTGGAAAGAGGGACTGATGCCTGTCATTTTGAGACAGTTTTTGCAAGCTCAGCCTTTCTGATTTTAGTTTTCTTAAACATGATTGGCAGCTTAAAGTGGAGTTCTACCAACTAGGAGTCTCTAGGAGTCACCCAACTTTCCAAATATTTCTCACGACTAATGGGATTATGCCTGGTCTGTACAAAAAAAAAGATTCAACAGAAGATGCTACTGCATATCTTCTGACCAGCAGCCCTGGGTTTCCAGTAATGCTATACTGAACAGCGTGATACAGGAGCCCCAGGTGCACATGGCCAGTGAAATTCAAATTCATATCAGTTTTGAAGAATAATCCACATAGAAAGGTAGGACATGTGTGTCTCCAAATAGAAAGCTAGGATATGTGTTTCTTTGGGTTTTGCAGTGGAAGAAGGAGCAGGCTAGTAACAAAGATTTAGTGTCTCCCTGTCCCACAACCCATCGCAAAAAAAGAAGTCAAATGTACTCAGCCATGAACAACTGAAAAGACATACTATGTTCTTAGAAGGAATCAATATAACAAAGATCTTCCTTAGGTTGATTTATAAATTCAATGAATTAGCAATACCAATTCCTTCATATTGTTTCCTGTAGCTATAAAACTTAATTATAACATACATCTCTAAGAACAGGAAAGCAAGAGTAGCCACAAAAATCCAGGAAAGGAAGAGTGAAGGCTAGTGGGGATGTGGTGGGTAGCCCTTTCAGATAATAAAGTTAATTATAAAACCTTTATAATTAAGACAGTGTAGTACTAATGAATGAACAAACAAATATATCAATAAAAATAAAAAATTCAAAAATAGACGTAATTTTATATGGAAATATAGTGCACAGTAAAGGCAGTATCTCAAATCAGTAGGAGAAAAATGATTATTTAATAAGTTTTGTTGGATCACCACATAATTAAGATTGGATCTATTCTTCATATTGGGCTCTAAGATTTATTCCAAATGGAACAAGTATTTAAATGGTAAAAAATTAAATGAATCTTACACAGACTACAAAAAAATGGGTGAATTCTTCATAATCTGGGACTGTGAAAATTTTCTTAACTATGACACAAAATCCAAATTCTTTAAGAAAAAGGATTTATATATTTGACAACACTAAAATGAAAACAAACTACAGGGCAAAAATAACCACAAGGAATTCCAAAAGATATAATAAATGACAAAGAAGGCTTGCAACTTATATTGCAAAGGTTATTATTCCTAATTATCCCTAATATATAAAAACTTTCTAAAAATGGAGACAAACGTCAAGAAAAATCTCATAAGAGACTCTAAGAGCAAGTTCAGAGAAAATAAATGTGCCTTAAACACATGAAAAGATGTCTAGCCTCACTCATAATGAGATATGAAAATTAAAACTGCACAGATAACATTTCGCAATCATATTACCAAAATTACAAAAAGCTTGACAACATATTCTTAAGAAGTCTATGAAAAGGCATTCTTAGAAATCACTGGTGGGAATATCAAAGGGTAAAAACCAATGTGAAAGGTAAATTGGCAATATCTAGCAAATTTTTATGCACTTCAACCCTTTCAATTGGCAATCCAACTTCTAAGACTCTAGACGATATATTGGCAAAAATATAAGACAACTACATAAGTTATCTTGTTAAGTAGAGATATATGATCAGCAAAGTAGAGATGAGTAGAGATATCTGATTGACAAAACTGAAAATCACCTAAATACCTATTAACAGAAGAATGGTTGAATAAACTATGGTCCACCCATACAATGAAAAAACTATGTATCTCTAAAGAGGATGTGAGGATATTTCATACACAGCTGTGAAATAATCTCCAGGATATATTACTGAGTAAAAAGGCAATGTGGAAAAAGGATTTCTAGGATATCCCCATTCATCTAAGAAGAGACCATGATATAGATATATGACTCTCTGCTTTTTTTAAAAAAAAAAAAAAGGATAAACCAAACCAAAAATATTAATGGTTACCAGTAAATGGTATGAAGAAACAGAAGGGCAGGCATCAAAGAGAAAAATTATACTTCTCAGGTTTATAACTTTGACTGTGGAATTCTGTAAAATGTTTATGGAATTATTAAACAAAATTAAATTTTAAAATTTCTAAAAATAAAAAAATGAATAAAACAAATGAATATAACTTTATATTGATTTGGTGTCATAACCACCACAGTGACATAATACAAAGAGAAAGAATTTTTGGTGATTTTAAAATAAATAATTTGAATGGATGCAAAATAACCACAGTTCAGTAAAATCCTTGTGGTCTTGTATATGAACCCATGATGATATTAACTTTAAAACACTATTTCCTAGCTTTACTCACTGAACAAAACTAGAAATAAAGATAAAGTAGATAGTAATAAACATCTCAGGGCTCAGATTGCAGTCTCTAATACTTTCCACTAAAAAGAAGAAAGGTTCTTGATTTCAGGTCTAGAGCAACAAATGTATAAGATGTGCTGGACATTTTTTTCATACCTGGAGGAAAGAATGTCTTAAAACCCACTGAGGGCTCACCAAAAGAATGGAAGAACCACCTTGAAGAAGGTCCCACTGGTCCATAAACGCACAACTAATTCAATGGTTTGAATCACTTCAAATACTAATAAATCCATGAGTTCAAAGTTATACAAAAGAAAAAAAAAATGCCCTTAGTAGTCAATTTTGGATGATTCTATGTAACTCAAATTTTGATAGCTGACAATTCAAGGGAAATAATCAGTTATCCTGCCTTTCCTATATAAGATATATTTCTGGATAAGAAAACAGTTGATGAGGGAAAAATTTTCTTTAGAGACATGTTCCAGCTAGTAAATGAAGAAGGAATGACATAAGTGTAAAGGCACTGCTTTGCAAAGCCCTGATGAAGCAGTGGATCTAGGAAATGGTCATCAATAGCTCCTAGCATCATAAAAGGAGAATCAACCTCATATTATGTACCAGGTGACAGAAATACACATCACCTCCTTGAAAGTAGTCTTGCCAAAAAAAAAAAAAAAGCAAAAAACTGGTTTGATCATGCCCCTAGATCTCTTACAAATTGACAGGAAATACAGACAACAGAGGAACATGTAACCTGCAAAACTCAGCTATAGCAAATTCTATAAAACAAATGATACAAAGTATTCAACAAATAAACTGTATAGGGGAAATAGGAGAACAAAAGCACCTATAGATTGAAACAGTGGTATGCAAACTGTGGTCAATAGGGCCACCACACTGTTTTTGTAAATAAAGTTTTATTGGAATATAGCCAAGTCCATTCATTTATGCATTGTCTATGACTGCTTTTGTGCTATAGTGACAGAGTTGACTAGTTGCAGCAGAGATTATATGGCCCCTAAGGACTAAGATATGTACTATCTGGGCCTTTCCAGAGAACATTTGCCAACTAATTGACTAAAAGAGACTTAAGAGACATATGAAGCAATTGGAATATATGAACCTTATTTTGATTATGATTAAACAAAGAATCAAAAAATTAAAAGCAAAGCAGTCAAAGAAAAAGAGTTGAGAAAAAAATTGTTAGAAAGCCATTCAAGAGAATTAGAATAGTAAAAAAGCAGAGGGAAATAATAGACAAGGAGATTAAAAGATGGGGAGTATGTGGTCACAGTGTGTATTAGTCCATTTTCATGCTGTTATAAGAAGAAATACCCAAGATTGGATAATTTATAAAGGAAAGAGGTTTAGTTGACTCACAGTTCCTCACGCCTGGGAAGGCCTCAGGAAAATTACAATCATGGCAGAAGGGGAAGCAAATATGTTCTTCTTCACAAGGCAACAGGAGAGACAAATGCCTAGCAAAAGGGGAAAAGCCCCTTATAAAACCACCAGATTTTGTGAGAACTCACTCACTATCACGAGAATAGCATGAGGGTAACCAACCCCATGATTAAATTACCTCCCACCAGGCACCTCCCACTACATGTGGGGATTATGGGAACTACAATTCAAGATGAGATTTGGGTGGGGACACAGCCAAACCATATTACAGCGTGACTGCTGCCAGGAAGGCAAAGGGAGACAGATCTAAAATATTTCAGTAGATGAGTGACTAGACACCATGGGTCACCTTAGTGTGAGCACTGTCAGAGGAACAATAGAAGTAGAACTCAAAGTGTGCAAGTACTACGTGGACGACTACTACATTGGAAAAGAAAAAATACAGACTGCTCCTGTCAGGGTTTCAGCAGTTGAGGAGAGGGAGCATCTGTACCTGGAATGAGAAACCCATCTAAGACTAAGAGAGACTTGAAGCAAATGAATATTACATCAGTAAACTGATTTTACAGTGCATATTATAAACCCTAAAGCAGGAGGAGAATGTTGTCTACTTCAGTTGTGCCAAAGTCACAACCAATCAAAACACACATACACAAACACTTTTGGATTTCAATCTTTTCAATCACTTTGGGTATCAAAAACAGGCCCTGTCAAAGTATTTGAAGTGGACAAGGGAGCCAGTACCTAGCACAGACTCTTGTACGTGGCAGGTTGGTAAATTTGAATTGGAAGCCTAAGTGATATAATTTAGATATTTGTCTCCAACAAATCTCATGTTGAAATTTGATCCCCAATGTTGGAGGTGGGGCCTGGTGGGAGGTACTTGGGAAATGGTAGCAGATCCCTCATAAATGGCTTGGTGCTGTCCTTGCAGTAATGAATGAGTTCTCACTCTGTTAGTTCCCACAAGATCTGATTGTTAAAAAGAGCCTGGCATCTTCCTCACCTCTCTCTCACCATGTGATGCCGGCTCCCCTTCCTTTTCCTCCATGAGAAGAAGCTTCCTGACACCCTCACCAGAAGCAGGTGTCGGTGCAATGCTTCTTGTACAGCCTGCAGAACTTGAGTCAAAAAACTCTCTTTTCTTTACAAATTACCCAGCCTCAGCTATCTCTTTATAGAAATGTAAACAAACTAAGATACCAAGAAACCAAGTACTTCTGCACACATAACAGAATAAACAACCTATTTGACACCACTCAGACAAAAACTTCATACAATGAGAATCCTCTAAGTTAATCCTTGTGAACTTCAAAATCATAGAGATGGGCCATCTTCAAGCTTTTTTTTCCCCCTCTAGGGACATCTGGTCTTCTCTTTAGACACCACTAGTAGAGCCCTGTGTTTGCATCCCAGCCTTCTTCCTGTACTATGCTGGCCAAACTGCAGCCCAGCAAGATCCCAGAACATCGTCCGCCCTACGAAGCTGAAATAGAAAGCAATTTGCAACTGAATGACTCTGCTTTGATGATTTGGGATCCCCCTTAACATTGCCTTTGATGGGATTCTTTCTGTGAGCAGCTACAATATCACTTTCCCTAATTAACTCTGATGTTTCCTTTGAGCTTCTGTTTCCTGAGAAGGAAAATCATGTTTAATTCAAAAGGGCTGTCATTATTTTGATGAATGGAAAACAGCTATAAGCCACAGGTTTGGAGAGAAGTAATAAAATCAAAATGATTACATCCCTTTAACGTGGCCCCATTCCAGAGTCCTTCCTACAGGTGGTTCTCTGGATAAGGAGTAGAGGTATTGGGGTAAGAGGCATGAGGTGGGAAGGAAAAGGTTAATAAAGGTAGCAGCTTCTGGACCAAAGTTTGGCCTGGAGCTGTAGGGCCTCACTAATAAAACAAGTAGATTTCCTTTGTAGTACGGTAACTCTGAAGCAAAGTTGTGGCCCAACACTAGATTCAAATCCACACTCTTGCCACCTATCTGCACACAAGCTCTTAACCTCAGTGTTTCTTTGACCTTAGTCATCGGTATTTCCAATTTTAACCATCCATAAAGGGAGTAGGAGCATGGATAATTCCAAAATCAGATTACAGGGAATCATCTGCATTTGGCTTAAAAGACTGTATGAAAAGAGCCTTTTCTTGCCCCAGAATTACTTGACTCATCTTTTGGGTAAGAACTGTAGTCTATTGGAATAATCTGAACAGACTAGCTGCCCAACAGAGACAGGCCAAACTTCCACTGGAGCAGCCACAGATGGCTCTGGGAATGTTTGACCAACATACTATTAAATTAGAAATTTCTTCACCTTGGAGGGTTACAGTACAAGATCTGTGTGGCAAAATCAAATTTTATTCTCTCATTCACCAGGCCAAAAATGTCAAAGAAGTTTTGACAGCACTGGAGACACGAGTAAATTTTCTAGATCAGATTCCTGCCAGCATTTCCTTGGGCCTTGGCCCTGCCTGGACCTCAGACAAGTGTGAAGGGTTTGGCCGACACACCAGAGGCAGAGTATGTTCAGTCCCCTGCGGATATGGCACTTTTGCTCTGCAGAATAAATATGTCATATATGTTGACATGAAAACTTTAAAGTGACCCTTTTTAAAAATATCTCTTCCTCCATTATCTAGTTTTCAGTTTGAAACCACAACCACTAATTCTTGTAATGATCCACCTATTGCCCAATCCCTGCACATTTATATTTTTCACATTAGAAATTACTTGTCCACTCCCTTCACCAGAAGATTTGACCACACAGCAGGTTCCCAGACCCACCTGGCTCCCAGAACTCTGCTATAGAGGAGAGGTGTGGTCTCTCGCTATTAGTCCCACTCTAACCTTGCTGTTGCCGGCACCAAAACCTAGATTCAGATGTGATGTTACCAAATCAGAATGAAATTAGACCACTCTCTCTCTGTTTCTAATGAGCTGTGATCAGCCTCAGTTCCATGAAGAACTAACAAGTCAGTTCTCTTGCTTTCTGTACTTGAACAATGGCCTATTGTTGATTTATTACAAAAATGTTTATTTAAGTTTTAAATATAGTTAACATTCAGCCTCATTTAGCATATTTTGTGAGAGGTACTCAATGAAGCACTGTTTTTTCTGTATATTATTTTCTTTTTTTTTTTTTTTTTTTTTTTTTTGAGACGGAGTCTCGCTGTCGCCCAGGCCGGAGTGCAATGGCGCGATCTCGGCTCACTGCAGGCTCCGCCCCCCGGGAATTCACGCCATTCTCCTGCCTCAGCCTCCCGAGTAGCTGGGACTGCAGGCGCCTGCCACCTCGCCCGGCTAATTTTGTGTGTGTGTGTTTTTAGTAGAGACGGGGTTTCACCGTGTTAGCCAGGATGGTCTCGATCTCCTGACCTCGTGATCCGCCCCCCTCGGCCTCCCAAAGTGCTGGGATTACAGGCGTGAGCCACCGCGCCCGGCCTTCTGTATATTATTTTCTGAGACACTTTGAGGTAATAGCCTTGGGACACAAATTAGGAAGTCAAGACTCAATTCTACCTATCTTTTGCTGTATTACTCTTTTGTTTAACCTGCAGCCTCATAAGTATGAACTCAAGCTTCTCAAAAAAGCACTGTGCAAAGCAGCATATCACTATTTTACCATGCAACAAAAAGTTCCTCAGAGGACACTGAGCCTATTTTCCTCCATTTCTCCTGTGGCTGTGTGATGATACCTACTATTAGCCAGCTAGCTTGGGTCCAGGTCAGCTATTCCGCAAACACATTTATTTTATATTTTCTCCATTTCTTAGTTATTAATTTTGCTTCATGTTTAAGTCCAATGGGGTGTGTCTTCAAATTTTTTATGAGAAAATATACATATGTTTTAAGTTTTTTGAAACCTTTCATATCTGAAAATGTCTTTTGGTTATGTTCACATTGACAGAGAATTTTGTTTGATTTGAAATTCTTGGGTAAAAAAAATTCTTCCTTTAATCCTCTGCAGACGCTGTTCTATTGTCTTCTAAGTTTTATTGATATGAAATAGAATTATGGCAGCCTGAGCTTTATTTCTTTGTGGGAACCTACTGTTATATTCTGGCTAGATACTATTAAGATTGTGGTAGCTGTTTTTTTTCTCTGTGTACCTATAACTTTTTCCCACAGAGTATCTGTTTATAAGTATTTCACTTTTTTCAAGATATCGATGATTTTTTTAAATATAAATATGTATGTTTATTCTTAAACTCAGGAAACATTTCTTCTTTATAACTTTGATTATCATTTTTATTACTTTTGCTTCTTTAGCAAATGAACTACCTGAATGATTACTCTCCATTTTCCAACTTCCAGATCTAGAGTTGTTTCTGCAAAATGACAGGGTGTTTTGATGTTTTCTGCTCACCTAAGGCAGGGTGAATTTAACCCTCTGAACTACATTTAGTGGGCAGATTAGTGAACCCAGCCGTAGTTCAGTTTGCATTTTCTAAGAGCACTCATCTATTATTGATTTGTTATATAGATTTCTTTTTTTTTTTTTTTTTTTTTTGAGACGGAGTCTCGCTCTGTCGCCCAGGCTGGAGTGCAGTGGCGGGATCTCGGCTCACTGCAAGCTCCGCCTCCCGGGTTCACGCCATTCTCCTGCCTCAGCCTCCCAAGTAGCTGGGACTACAGGCGCCCGCCACTACGCCCGGCTAATTTTTTGTATTTTTAGTAGAGACGGGGTTTCACCGTTTTAGCCGGGATGGTCTCGATCTCCTGACCTCGTGATCCGCCCGCCTCGGCCTCCCAAAGTGCTGGGATTACAGGCGTGAGCCACCGCGCCCGGCCTAGATTTCTTATATTCTTGAGATAATCTAAACAACAAAATTCAGGGCTCTTTACTATCCAGAATGCAATGTGTTACTGTGGACATTCCCAACACTACTTTCTACATAACTATCTTCTAAAATTTGCTTTCACTGAATGACTAATGAACAGAGATAACATCTCTTATGGGTGGATTTTGTTTGCTCTCCAAGTGCTTCAAAAATAAATTGATACCATTATTAAGAAATGAATACTCCCCAAGGAATTCTACTGACTCAATGCAATTCCTATCAAAATCTCAAACACTTTATTTGACAGAATTGTTTTAAAATCTGTTTTAAAATCCATATGAAATCTCAGGGGACCAAGTAACCAAAACAATCCTGAAAGAGAACAAAGTTGGACATCTCATGCTTCATAATTCCAAAACTTACTACAAAGCTACAGTGATCAAAACAGTGTGGTATGAACATAATGCCAGACACATCGACAAGTGTAAAAGAATAAACCCTCATATATGTGGTCAAACAATTTTCAACAAGGATGCTAGAACCATTCAATGGAGAAAGGGCAGTCTTTTCAACAAACGGTGATGAGAAAGCATGCAAAAGGAAAAATCTGAACCATTACCTTACACTATATCCAAAAATTAATTCAAAATTTATCAAACATCTAAGAGCAAAAACTGTAAGACCCTTAAAATAGCATAGATGAAAAGATTTATGGCATAAAATTTGGCAATGATTTCTTGGATACGACACCAAAAGCACAAGCAACAAAAGAAAGAATAGATTAATTGTACTTCATCCAAGTTAAAAGTGTTTTGCATCAAAGGACACTATCAACAGTGTGAAAGGGTAACTCACAAAATGTGAAAAATATTTGCAAATCTGATATTGAATAAAGGACTGATTTCCAGAATATATAAAAAAACTGCTACAACTCAAACAACTAAAAATTATCCAACTTAAAAATGGACAAAACACTTGAATAGACATTTCTCCAAAGAAGATATACAGATGGCCATAGCATATAAAAAGATGCTCAACATCACTAATCATTGGAGAAAAGTCAATCAAACCACAGTGAGTGAATTGACTTGGATAGAGATTTCTCCAAAGAGGATAGACAGATGGCCATAGCATATAAAAAGATGCTCAACATCACTCATCATTAGAGAAAAGCCAATCAAACCACAGTGAGATTCCACATCACACCCTTTAAAATAGCTATTATAAAAAACAAACAAAACAGAAAATAGAAAGTAACATTGTTGGTGAGGATGTGGAGAAACTGAAACACTTGTACACTGCTGGTAGAAATGTAAAATGGTGTGGCCACTGTAGAAAACGATATGATACTTCCTTTAAAAATTAAATATAGAATTGCCATTTGACCCAACAATTCCACTTCTGGTAAATACTCAGAAGAATGAAAGCAGGGACTCAAAAAACTATGTATGTACCAATGTTCATAGCAAGATTTTTCACAGAGCCAAAAGATGGAAGCATCCCAAATGTTCAACAAAAGATGAATGGATACACAAAATGTGGAATACACATAAAAGAATATATTTTTTTGCATTGTTTTATTGCATTGTTTCCACAATTCAAAATGTGGAATATACATACAGGAATGCATTGTTTTTTGCATTGTTTTATTGCACTTTTTACAAATTGAAGGTTTGTGGCAACCCTGCATCGAGCAAGTCTGTTGGAACTAGTTTTCCAACAGCATGTGCTCATTTCACGCCTCCATGTCACAGATCACATTACTTTTTCATTATTATTATGCTTGTTATAGTGACATATGATCTGTTATCTTTGATGTTACTATTGTAATTGTACTGAGGCTCCACAAACCACATCTATACAAAACAGCATCCTTAATCCGTAAACATTGTGTGTGTTCTGATGCTCCACCAACTAGCTGTTTCCTCATCTCTCTCATATTCCTTGGGCTTCCCTATTCCCTGAGATGCAAAAAAAAAAGAAAGAAAGAAAGAAAGAAATTAGGCCAGTTAATAACCCTGCAATGACCTCTAAGTGTTCAAGTGAAAAAAAGAGTAATATCTCTCACTTTCAATCAAAAGCTGGAAATAATAAAGCCAAGTGAAGAAGGCACGTTGATAAGCTAAGGCTCTTGTGCCGAAGTTAGCCAAGTTGTGAATGGGAAGGAAAAGGCTTTGAAGGAAACTGTAAGTGCTACTCCAGGGAACACACAAATGAAAAGAAAGCAGAACATTCTTATTGCTAATATAGAGAAAGCTTTAGTGATCTGGACTGAAGATCAAACCAGACACAATGCTTCCTTAAACCTAAGCCTAATCCAGAGAAAGGCCCTAAACCTCTTCAATTCTGTGAACGCTGAGAGAGATGAGAAGACTGCAGAAGAAAAGTTGAAACTACCAGAGGTTGCCCTATGAGGTTTAAGGAAAGAAGTCAAATCTATAACATAAAAGTGCAAGATGAAATAGCAAGTGCTGATGTAGGAGCTGCAGCGAATTATTCAGAAGATCTAGCTAAGATCATTGATAAATGTGGCTACACTGAACAACAGATTTTCAATGTAGATAAAACAGCTTTCCATCAGAAGAGGATGCCATGCAGGATTTTCATGGCTAGAGGGGAGAAGTCAATGCCTAGCTTCAATGATTCTACGGACAGGCTGACTTTCTTATTAGGGGCTAGTGCAGCTGGTGAATCTAAGCTGAAGCCAATGCTTGTTTACCATTCTGAAAATCCTAGGATCCTGAAGAACTATGCTAAATCTACTCTGACTGTGTTTTATAAATGAAACAACAAAGCCTGGGTAATGGCACATCTGTTTACCACATGATTTACTAAATATTTTAAACCCACTGTTAATAACAACTGCTCAGGAAAAAAAAATTCAAACTATTACTGCACATTGACAATGCACCAGAATCATCCTGTGGTCATTTCCCCAGTTCCAGAATGCATAATTGGTATAGACATACTTAGCAGCTGGCTGAACCCCCACATTGGCTCCCTGACTGGTAGGGTGAGGGCCATTGTGGTGGGAAAGGCCAAATGGAAGCCATTAGAGCTGCCTCTACCTAGAAAAATAGTAAATCAAAAACAGTATCATATCCCTGGAGGGATTGCAGAGATTAGTGCCACCATCAAGGACTTGAAATATGCAGGAGTGGTGATTCCCACCACATCCCTGTTCAACTCTCCTATTTGGCCTGTGCAGAAGACAGATGAACAGTGGACTATTGTAAGCTTAACCAAGTGTTGACTCCAATTGCAGCTGCTCTACCAGATTTGGTTTCATTGCTTGAGCAAATTAATGCATCTCCTGAGACCTGGTATGCAGCCATTGATTTGGCAAATGCCTTTTTCTCCATTCCTGTCCATAAGGCCTACCAGAAGCAATTTGTCCTCAGCTGGCAAGGCCAGCAATATACCTTTAGTGTTCTCCCTCAGGGATATATCAACTCTCTGGCTTTGTGTCATCATCTTATTTGGAGAGGGCTTGATGGCTTTTCACTTCCACAAGGAATCACATCGGTCCATTATATTGATGACATTATGCTGATTGGATCCAGTGAGCAAGAAGTAGCAAACACACTAGACTTATTGGTGAGACATTTGTGCGCCAGAGGAAGGGAAATAAATCCAACTAAAATTCAGGGACCTTCTACCTCAGTAAAATTTCTAGGAGTCCAGTGGTGTGGGGCCTGTCGAGATATTCCTTCTAAGGTGAAGGATAAGTTATTGCATTTGGCTCCTCATACAATCAAGAAAAAAAGACAACGCCTAGTGGGCCTATCTGGATTTTGGAGGGAACATGTTTTTCATTTGGGTGTGTTATTCTGGCTGGCCCATTTATCGAGTGACCCTAAAGGCTGCCAGTTTTGAGTGGGGTCCAGAATAGGAGAAGGCTCTGCAACAGGTCCAGGCTGCTGTGTAAGCTGCTCTGCTACTTGGGCCATATGACCCAGCAGATCCAATGGTGCTTGAGCTGCCAGTGGCAGATGGAGTTGTTGTTTGTAGCCTTTGGCAAGCCCCCATAGGTGAATCACAGAAGAGGCCTCTAGAATTTTGAAGCAAAGCCCTGCCATCTTCTGCAGATAACTACTCTCCTTTTGAGAGACAGCTCTTGGCCTGTTACTAGGCTTTGATAGAAACTGAACGTTCAACTATGGATCATCAAACACCATGCAGCCTCAACTGTCTATCATGAACTGGGTGCTTTCTGACCCATTTAGCCATAAAGTGGGTTATGCACAGCAGCATTCCATCATCAAATGGAAGTGTTATATGTGATCAGGCTCAAGCAGGTCCAAGTAAGTTACATGAGAAAGTGGCTTAAATGCCCATGATCCCCACTTCTGCCACCCTGCCTTCTCTCCCCAAGCATGCACCAATGGCATCATGGGGAATTCCCTATGATCAGTTGACAGAGGGAAAGAAGACAAAGGCCTGGTTTACTGATGGCTCTGCACAATATGCAGACACCACCAGAAAGTGGACAGCTACAGCACTACAGCCCCTTTCTAGGACATCCCTGAAGGAAAGCATCAAAGAGAAATCTTCCCAGTGGGCAGAATTGCGAGCAGTGCACCTGGTTGTGCACTTTGCATGGAAGAAGAAATGGCCAGATGTGCGATTATATACTGATTCATGGACTGTAGCCAATGGTTTGTCTGGACAGTCAGGGAATTGAAAGAAGCATGATTGGGAAATTGGGAAATTGGTGACGAAGAAATTTGGGGAAGAGTTATGTGGATGTACCTCTCTGAGTGGTCAAAAACTGTGAAGATATTTGTATCTCATGTGAGTGCTCACCAAAGGATGACCTCAGCAGAGGAGGATTTTAATAATCAAGTCTATAGGATGACCCATTCTATGGACACCACTCAGCCTCTTTCCCCAGCCACCCCTGTCACTGCCCAATGGGCACATGAACAAAGTGGCCATGGTGGCAAGAATGGAGGTTACACATAGGCTCAGCAACATGGACTTCCACTCACAAAGGCTGACCTGGCTACAGCCACTGCTGAGTGCCCAGTTTGTCAGCCACAGAGACCAACACTGAGCCCTCGATATGGCACCACTCCTCAGGATGATCAGCTAGCTATCTGGTGGCAGGTTGATTATATTGAACCTCTTCCACCATGTAAAGGGCAGGGGTTTGTCCTCACTGGAATATACACTTACTCCAGATATGGGTTTGCCTATCCTGCATGCAATGCTTCTGCCAAGACTTGTATCTGTGAACTCACGGAATATCTTATCCACCATCATGGTATTCCACACAGCATTGCCTCTGACCAAGGCAACCACTTTATGGTGAAGAAATGTGGCAGTGGGCTCATGCTCCTGGAATTCACTGGGCTTACCATGTTCCCCATCATCTTGAAGGAGCTGGATTGATAGAACGGTGGAATGGCCTTTTGAAATCCCAATTACAACACCAACTAGGTGACAATATTTAGCAGGGCTGGGGCAAAGTTCTCCGGATGTCTATGTATGCTCTGAATCAGCATCCAATATAGGGTACTGTTTCTCCCATAGCCAGGATTCACAGGTCCAGGAATCAAGGGATGGAAGTGGAAGTGGCACCATTCACTATCACCCCTAGTGACCCACTAGCAAAATTTTTGCTTCCTCTTCCTGCGACATTACATTTTGCTGGCCTAGAGGTCTTAGTTCCAGAGGGAGGAATGTTGCCACCAGGAGACACAACAACGATTTCATTTAACTGGAAGTTAAGATTGCCACCTGGCCACTTTGGGCTCCTCCTACCTCTAAGTCAACAGGCTAAGAAGGGGATTACAGTGTTGGCTGGAGTGATCAATCCGGACTATCAAGATGAAAACAGTCTACCACTCCACAATGGAGGTAAGGAAGAGTTTGCATGGAATACAGGAGAACCATTAGGGCATCTCTTAGTATTACCATGTCCTGTGATTAAGGTCAATGGGAAACTACAACAACCCAATCCAGGCAGGACTACAAATGGCCCAGACCCTTCAAGAATGAAGGTTTGGGTCACTCCACTGGTAAAAAGCCACGACTTGCCGAGGTGCTTACTGAAGGCAAAGGGAATACAGAATGGGTAGTAGAAGAAGGTAGTCATCAATACCAGCTATGACCACGTGACCAGCTGCAGAAACGAGGACTATAATTGTCATGAATATTTCCTCCTTGCTTTGTTAAGGACATGTTTGTGTTTGTACTAAGAAAATATCTTCATTTTATTTTCTTTTCCTTTATCATGTGAAATAAGACTTCATATCAGCATTTAAGTATTGTTAACTTTATATAATAGCATTTGGGGCAGGAATTGGTGCGTTTCTGGCCGTATAAAGGATAACTGTATTATGTTAGGTGTAATTATCACCTTATTATTCTTATTATTTGTAGATAATGCATGATTTCAGGATATGTGTATGGTTCAAGGTGACAAGGGTGCACTTGTGATGGTTAACATTGTCAACTTGATTGGATCGAAGGATGCAAAGTATTGTTTCTGAGTGTGTCTGTGAGGGTGTTTCCAAAGGAGATTAACATTTGAGTCAGTAGACTGGGAGAGGCAGACCCACCCTCAATCTAAGTGGGTACCACCTAATCAGCAGCCAGCATGGCTAGGATAAAAGCAGACAGAGGAACACGGAAGGACTGGACTGGCTAAGTCCTTCAGCCTTTATCTTTCTCCCATGCTGCCTGCTTCCTGCCCTGGAATATCGGACTCCAAGTTCTTCAGCTTTTGGACTCTTGGACTTATGCCAGTGTTTTGCCAGAGGCTCTTGGACCTTTAGCCACAGATTGACGACTGCACTGTCATCTTCCTACTTGTGAGGTTTTGGGACTCAGACTGGCTTCCTTGCTCCTCAGCTTGCAGACAGCCTATTGTGGGACTTCACCTTGTGATCATGTGAGTCAATACTCCTTAATAAACTCTCCTTTATATATACATCTATGCTATTAGTTCTGTCCCTCTAAAGAACTCTAACTAATAAAGGTATATACATTGTTTTTTAGACACAATTCTATTGCACACTTAATAGACTATAGTGTTGTATAAAAATAACTTTTATATGCACTGGGAAGCCAAAAATACGGTGTGACTCACTTTATTGTGATACTAAATTTCTTGGGAACAAATCCTCAATATCTTCAAGGTATGCCTGTACAATGAAACATAATTCTTCCTTAAAAAGGAATGAGATTTTGACACATACAACGTGAATGAACTTTGGGAACATTATGCTAAGTGATATAAACCAGTCACAAAAAGTCAAAATACTGTATTATTCCACTTATATATGAGGTATCTAGAACTGAGTCATCAAACTTGTGGAAGTATAAAGTAGAATAGTGATTGCTAGAGACTGAGGCAACAGAGAAACAGGGAGTAGCCAAATGGGTACAGAGTTTCAGTTTTGCAAGATGAAAAAGTTTTGGAGATGTGCTACACAACCATGTGAATGTGCTTAATATTATTGAACTACACACTTAAAAATAGTTAAAGTACACAAGAACAGAAAACCAAACACCGCAGGTTCTCACTCGTAAGTGGGAGCTGAACAAGGAGAACACATGGACACAGGGAGGAGAACATCACGCACCAGGGCCTGTTAAGGGGTTGGGGGCTGGGGGAGGGATAGCATTAGGAGAAATACCTAATGTAGAAGATGGGTTGATGGGTGCAGCAAACCACCATGGCACATGTATACCTATGTAACAAACCTGCACATTCTGCACATGTACCCCAACACAGGAAGTATAATAATAATTTTTAAAAGTTAAAGTAGTAAATTTTACCTTATGTATACTCTACCCTTACAGAGAATAAAAATAATAATTTTAAGATGAAATAAAATTCTGACACAGGCTATTACATGGATGAACCTTGAAGATATTATGCTATGTGAAGTAAGCCAAACACACACAAAAATAGCTATTGCATGATTCCACTTACATGAGGCATGTAGAGTAGTCAAAGTCATAGAGACAGAAAGTAGAATGGTGTTTCCTGGGGGCTGGAGAAGAGGAGGATGGGGAGTTATCATTTAATGGAGTTGGGGAAGAAGAAGAAGTTTTGAAAATGGATGGTAGTGATGGCTGTGCAACAGTGTGAATGTACTTAATGCCACAGAACTGTACACTTGAAAATTCTTACGATGGTACATTTAATGCTGTGTATGTTTTGCCACAATAAGAAAAGAAAAAACAAATGAAAAAAATAAAGAAATCAAATATATTGCCAGCATTTAATAATTATCAGATTTAGTATAAACTAAAAGAGACTATCTGATAAGAGTGTGCCCATATTCAAAGACGGTGACAACTGAACTGAAGAGTGGTTGCCAGACTTGGACAGCAATCATGAATTTTTTAGCATCTTCAGCTCATTTCAGTTCCCACCTCCCTCTCTTCCATACTTTACTCAACATATTGCCTGCCTAGGCCCTGGAGCCATTTGAGTTTTTGGCACTGATACAGAAAAATGTGAGGAGGAGGCAGTAACTTTTGACTGTTTGACCACACGGAGTCAGCCTCCTTGCAGGAAATTGACAGTGACTGCTCAGATGTTTTCAAATTTGGTCAAACCTAGTATATAAGTGAAAAAGCAGACAGTGAAGGCACTATAAAGAGTCTTCTTACCTTTTATTAAGTAGTCACATCCTGAGGCCAAACTGGGATAGGAGTTTTTCAAAATAGTTTTCTTTGCTTTGTGGTTAGTGGCAATTCCCAACAGATTGTGCCTTGCTGTTAGAGGTTACTGTCTTACTGTGTATATGGCTGTGAGTTTTGTGTTTACAATTGACATTCTGAATGTGTTTTCTTTCTTGCATATTTCAACTCATTTTTACTATCAATTGAGGACATCTGGATACTATTTCTGTCAACCAAATATTTTCTATGCCTTCTAATTTTATGTCATAGGTAATGTTTATAACATCCTTTTAGACCTTTATTTAACATTGTCATAGTCTTTTGAACAGGATGGGAGAGGGGGAAGAACCCAGGAGCAGTTTCTCAGAGGCCTCCCCCAACGTTGACATTTAATGAAGTAAAGCCTTGAATATCATTGGCTCGCCAGTTATGATGCAACTAACCACCATCTGAGCCCGATCTTATTTCTCCAAAGTGTCCCTAAGACCATATCAAATGGTCGTATTTGCCCACTGTAATTCTCTGCTTTCCTAGCGTAGCATTCCTATTAAAGTCAGAGCTTTTAAAAAACTAGTAACTCAGCAGAATTCCTGTGGTACCCATGCTGTGGTGGGTAAGTCTGGACATCGGGGGCAGTTGTGTGTGGCTGTGGCTGATGGAGGAAGTGTACAGAGTTCAGACTCAAGAGTTAAGGGAAGCCAGGTGGAGAGTTTAGCCATGGAATGGAGATTTTATCATTTTATTCTGTGTTTTAGAGGCTAGAAATATGTCTTGGTGGTAACAAAGGAAAGCTTTTAGAAGCTTCTTTAACATTTTTTTCTAGTGGTTAAAAAGTCAGCAATTTTGAATCTGTAAGGAACTAAGAATAATGCTTTCAGCCAGAATATTAGAGCTGCCTCTGGATGGGATTGGGATTTATTAAATAACAGCAACCTATGACTCTTACCACCAAATACTCAGCTTTATTAGATACAGCCATCTACTCAAGAAAGACCAGAATCCCACCACGCAGGCCTCTTTTCCATTCACTCTGCTGCTAGGCAGCCCCAGTGGTTCCACAGACCTGGCAAACATGCAAGCAGCTGGAAAGTGAACAGAGCCTTTGCTTCCCATCCTGGAAGAGTTGCACAGAGAAAGAAGTAGAGCCCAAGGGAGTTTTTCAGCTGAGAAAGCAGCTGACATCTCATTCTACAAGTGTTAGAGACCCAGAGACCCACAGCACTAGTGTTGTCCCCAGACCAGGAAGCTGAAAGCTCCTTCTCAGATTAGGACCTTGTGTCAAATGGCAAATTGGAGACATAGCTGAAAGCAGAGTCATAGCCCTAAATGAATGTGTTCATGGCAGAGACCCACCCAGGCCACAGTCAGGATGGCTGGTGGCAACAATGGCCCAAATGGGCACATCTAGAGTGGGGCAGTAGTGGACTCAGTGATCCCTGGTCCCCACAAGGGGAATAATAAGAAACAACCACATGACTCTGTCTCACACACACACACACACACACACGTGTGTGTTCAGGCCAGAGTATGTAATTATGTCTGAGAACACACTAGTGGCTGTTTCCACCAGCCTAATTCTGGCAGAAATAGATGACATGCCCAGATTAGAATAATTCAGAAAGCTTAAAAACGGGACTGTTGACCAGGGTGTTAGCAGAGTTTACAGAAACCACAAGGGGAAGAATAGCATAATACCTTAAGAAAGTGGAGTTACTGATTCTTGGCTGAAGAAGCAAGAGGAAGGAGCAGTTGTAGCAACTCAGAGGCAGAGAGGATGCCCTGCAGAGGATCTAGTATCAGAGCTGAGACCTGTGGATGAAGGATGCAGCCCCTCTGGCCATCCTGCAGGGAGAGAGCTGAGGAATGCATGCCCATCCCCTGCCCCTGCCAGTGCTCCACATCTGCCTCAACCACAGGATAAGGGGCTGGTGGTGTGACCCATACAGCCTCTCTGGTCAAGAGCAAAGTGGACAAGGGCAAAGAAGAGATGCTGGGGAGCAAAGAGAAGATAGCACAGAAAGGGGGAACTTTTCCTCTCTAGTGAATACTGTGAACCCCCCAATTTTAAGACAGGTCTTAATTAATTAAGAAAGTCTGGCCGGGCGCGGTGGCTAACGTCAGTAATCCCAGCACTTTGTGAGGCGGAGGCTGGCGGATCACCTGAGGTCAGGAGTTCAAGACCAGCCTGACCAACGTGGAGAAACCCTGTCTCTACTAAAAATATAAAATTAGCCAGACGTGGTGGTGCATGCTTGTAATCCCAGCTACTTGGGAGGCTGAGGCAGGAGAATCTCTTTAACCTGGGAGGCAGAGGTTGTGGTGAGTCGGGATCACGCGCCATTGCAGTCTAGCCTGGGCAACAAGAGCAAAACTCGATCTCAAATAAAAAAAGAAAGAAAAAGAAAAAAAGAAAAGAAAGAAAATTTATTTTGCCAAGGTTGGGGATGCGCATGCCCGTGACACAGCCTGAGGAGGTCCTGACTGACATGTGCCCAAGATGGTCAGAGCACAGCTTGGTTTTATATATTTTAGGGAGACATGAGACATCAATCAACATATATAAGATGAACACTGGTTCAGCCCAAAAGGCAGGACAACTGGAAGCAAAAGCGGGACAACTCAAAGAGGTGAGGGCCTTTCAAGGTCACAGATAGGTGAGAGACAAACGGTTGCATTCTTCTGAGTTTCTGATTAGCCTTTCCAAATGAGACAGTCAGATATGCATTTATCTCAGTGAGCAGAGAGACGATTTTCAACAGAATGGGAGGCAGGTTTGCCCTAAGCAGTTCCCAGCTTGAATTTTCCCTTTAGCTTAGTGATTTTGGGGCCCCAAGATATTTTTCTTTCATCATACAAAGGGAAGCAAAAGAGGGGGTTAGCATTGTGAGCTTACTCCTAAATTCTAAATATCCTGAGATTAATTTTACATAATTCCTGGCAATTTCATTCCTATTTTGTGCCAGACATTTTTAGACACTTTACACATTTTATTTCTTTTAATCTTTACAAACATCCTATGATATAAATATTAGTATTGGCACATTGCAAATGAGGAAACTGAAACTCAGAGTTGCCAGGAAAACAAGCAGGAAAAAATGCATGTAAGCCTGAAGCTACTGGACTCCAGGGTCTGTCAGTTGTTCTTTCCCAGTGCCAGTCTGTTCTAGGCCACCACTGGAAAAGAACAGAACCAATTAGTGTCAGAAGTGGCTATTAGCAGTAGGGTCTGTGTGGCCTCTTTTAATCGAATGAAGACCATGAACTCTCTATCTAGATGCAGGGAAGTGACCTGGCTCCAGCCAGCTAGTTTTCATCAGCAGTTCTGGTCGGAGAGGGTGGCCAGCAGTTAATAGTCATAAATAGTTGAGTATCTGGGAGGCTGGTGGTGATATTTTTGGATGCACCACTTGCAGAGCAAACCTTTCTAATCTACTTTCTAGGCATAAGAGAGTTTCATGCTGCCTTCATTTTTAGGAAATTGAACATGTTGCCATGTCATGAGTTAAATTAGGTTTAGCCTAAAGCTGCCTCCTTGTTTTTAAGTTTGTACTAAAGGTTTCTCCATAAGTAGTGAACTGTAACCAAACTGGTTGTGTAAACAGACTATAACCTATTCCTGTACCAATCACTGAATTTTGACCAAAGGTGGCCAGCTGTTCAAACCGTGATCACATAAGGCAAACAAACACTGAGCTGTAACCAGTGCAGATGTTTTTGTACCTTTCTTCTTTTTTTCTATATGTCAGTTTCCCTTTTCTGTCTATAAATCTCCTCTGACCGTGCAGCAGCACCTGAGTTGCTCTGAACCTACTCTGGTTTGTAGGGCTGCCCAATTCACAAATCATTCCTTGCTCAATTGAACTTCTGTTAAATTTAACTGGTCTGTTTTTCTTTTAACATATGAGATCCCCCTCACATGTTGGTCTACTTTTTACTGAGTTTACCCTGAACAATGAGCATGGAAATGATTGAAAGCTGGACTGCTCTCATGGGCCTTGCTAATTCAACAAATGTTTATTGAACTTCACTATGTGCTAGACACTGTTATAGATCCTGGAGATGCAGTGGTTTAAAGACAGACAAGGTCACTACCCACACAGATGTTAGAGTCTAGCTATGAAACACGTGGAAAAAAACTTCAAATACAAGTATTAATAGACCATAAATAGTATGAAATGATAGGGTGTAACTGGAAGGCAAGGGGGCAACTTTACACAGATCATAAGGAAAGACCTCTGCGAAAAAGTCATGTTTAAACTCAGATCTGGGCAAGGCGTGGTGGCTTATGCCTGTAATCCCAGCACTTTGGGAGGCCGAGGTGGGCAGACTACCTGAGGTCAGGAGTTTGAAACCAGTCTGGCCAACATGGCAAAACCCTGTCTCTAATAAAAATACAAAAATTAGCTAGGCATGGTGGTGCACACCTGTAATCCCAGCTACTTGGAAGGCTGAGGCAGGAGAATCGCTTGAACCCAGGAGGGAGAGGTTGCAGTGAGCCGAGATTGTACTCCAGCCTGGGCAACAAGAGCAAAACTCCATCTCCAAAAAATAACAAATAAATAAATAAATAAATAAACTCAGATCTGTAGGATAGTCAGAGCCAGCCATGCATTGTACTGACAGGGCATCCTGGCCAGTGGGGCCAGAAAGCAGTGGGCTAGAAGGAGAACCGTGTGAGATGATCATGGAGATGTAGGGTCTAGGTCATGTGGGGTCACAGATGCCTTTTTTGTTCTGCTAACGGAAATCCTTGAAGATTTTAAGTGGGGAAACAACATGATATACTTGATATTTTTAAAAGATCACTTATGCTGCTATGTGAGAAGTGGGGTGAAGTGGGGTGAAGAATGAAGAACCAAACAAGGGAGAACGTTTGAAAAGCTATCTTTGTGGTCTATGTGAAAAGCAATTTGTATCACCCATGGCCATGCACATTGGGTGAAAATGAGGGATCTGAGTGTATTGTGGAGGTAAAACCTCAAGAATTTTGATTAGGTTGAATGGGGTGATATAAAGGAAGAAAGCAAGAATTACATTTAGGTGTTTTGCTTGAAAAACTGTGTGAATGGTGGTGACATTAACTGAGAAGAGGGAAACAGGTTTGAAACTACAAGAATTCCATTTTGTAAATATTGAGTTTGCAATTGCTTTTTGGGCATCCAAATAGAGTTGTCAAGTTATGTATATGGTATACTAGTCTGGAGTGCAAGTGAAAGCTGGAGAAACACATTTGGGAGCTGTTTCATTTTATATGATATAGAAAGCATGAGACTGGATGAGATTCCATAAAGAGAGAGGATAGACAGGGGGCAAAATGGACCCATAGCTAAGCTCTGAGGTTGTCCAGTTCTTGAAGCCTAAAGACAGGGAAAGCATGATCGTCAGTAAGCTACATTCTCACAGCTTCAAATCCACCCTCTGATATTCCACTTTGTGATGCTGGAGGTAAAACCCTAGAAATAAAATGTCCTCTTGGCTAGCTGTTTCCTTTTAGGTTCTACCAATAGAAGGCACAAGAAGAAAACTGTAAAGGTGGAGGGAAGAGAAGGACTCTCTACTGAAATACCTAGCGTGGTTCCTATGTTCCATGACTGATGTAGGGAGCCATCAAAGTGTCCTGAAATGAAAGAGAAACAGAAAAAACAAGTAAATGTGGCTTAGAAGCCACAATGTTGGCTATATTAATTTGCATCACTCCAGTAACCATTTTATTATCTACATGTATCTCATAACATCATGTTGTATACTTTAAATACACACAATAACAATTATTTTAAAAAGAAAATGTCTCAGGAAATTAAATTAATGTGATTAGGAGGAGAATTTAGGTTCAGAGTTCAAAAACAAGCAATCTATTGACTTTTAACTAAATGCGGACTGTTGAAGGCCTTTACTATAGATATTTAATGGATTTGTTTTCTAAGTAAGGGCAGGAACATTACACTCTGACTCATTCTACCTGCCTTAAAAATTGGCATAACATGTTTTGCATTAGCTTTGGAGCTGCTTTTTAAAACAAAACAAAACCTAGAAATATAACTGACTGAGTCATTTATTTAATACTTTATCTTCAAATATGTTTTATATTTAAATAATTACACATATGAAAGAGATAAGACATAGCAGTTAGATACCCATGAACTCACCACCAGATTTAAGAAACAGAACATTTTGTATATGAAAATCGGCAATTGTATCCTTCTCTCTCCCACCTACAGGTAACTACATTCTCATATTCCTAATTTTTGTATTTACCACAGCTTTGCTTTTCTACACAGTTTTAATATATGTGCATATCCTAATATTTTGTTTACTCTTATTTGTTTTGTTTTGTTTTTAATTTACAAAAGTTATATTGTTCCAAATGGGTTCTTCTGGAGCTTCTTTTTTCTGGAGATACATCTAAGTAATATATTTCTTTTTTGCTGTAGTATTATAATATTTCTTTGTATAATCATAACATATTTTCATTTGCCTCTGAATTGATATTCATTTACAATTTCCTGATATTACAAATAACACAGCTGTGAAGGATCCTCGTGCCTGGCTCCTCTTGCATGTGCACAAGGTGCTCCCATTCTGTAAGAAATGCTCAGGGCATACGGAAAGGCTAATCTTCAGTTTCACTAGATAATACCAAATTTTTATCGCTTCTCGGCCTTTTGGCTAAGATCAAGTGATAATGCCAAAGTTTTCTCCAAAGTGGTTTTACCAAATCAACCTCCCTTCCACAGTATATAAGAATTAGCATTGCTCCACATTCTTACCAGTTATTCGCATCATTTGACGTTAACTTTTGCCATTCAGGAAGATATAAATTATATTGTATTTAATACATATTTCCTAGATACTACTGAGTTTGGATATATTTTCATATTTTATTAGCTATTTGCATTTCCTTTTCTGTAATCTATTTGTATCTTTTGTTCATTATTTCATGCTATGGAATTCTTTGTTTAAATTATATTGAGTTTGGGGAGTTCTTTGCATTTTCTGATACTAATATTTTGTTAGTTATATCTATGAAAAATAATTTCTCCTAGTTTATAACTTGTCTTTTCTTCCTCTTTATGTTCTTCTTAATCTTACTGCAGTCAATCAAGTTTACAGTTTGTGTTTTTTGTGTCTTGATTAAAAAATGTTTCTCTAACTCAAATTCATAATGTTCTCATATTTCTTATTAGAAGTTTTTTAAACACTTCCTGTCTGATTAAAGTATTTAATTCACTAGAATTTATCATTGTGAACTGTATAATTAATGAATCTAATTTTATTTGCCATATAGACAATCAACTATCTCAACACAATTGTTTTAAGTTGATATCTGTTTTATTATTTTCGATTCGGGGTTACATGTGCAGGTTTGTTACAGGGTATATTTTGTGATACTGAGGTTTGTGCTTCTATTGATCCTGTCACACAAATAGTGAACATAGTACACAAAAGGAAGTTTATCAAGTTTTGCTCCCCTCCCTCCCTGTACCCTCTATTAGTCTCAAGTGTCTGCTTTTTCCCTTCTTTATGAGCATGGGTGTCCAATGTTTCGTTCCCACTTCTAAGTGAGAACGTGAAGTATTTGGTTTTCTGGGTTTTTGTTTATTTGCTTAGAATCATGGCCCCCAGCTGCATTCATATTGCTTCAAAGGACATGATTTTGTTTTTTTTACGGCTGTGTGGTATTCCATGGTGCATATGTACCACATATTTTTTTTATCCAGTTTACTGTCGATGGGCACCTAGGTTGATTGCATGTCTTTGATGTTGTGAATAGAGCTGAATTGAACATAGGAGCGGATGTGTCTTTTTGGTAGAATAATTTATTTTCCTTTGGGTATATATCCAGTAATGAAATTGCTGAGTGACAGTGTAGTTCTATTTTTCGTTCTTTGAGAAATCTCCAAACTTTTTTCCACAGAGGCTGAACTAATTTACATTCTCAACAATAGTGTGTAAGCATTCCCTTTCCTCTACAGCCTCACTAGCATCTGTTATTTTTTGATTTTTTTATAACAGCCATTCTGACGGGTGTGAAATGGTATCTCATTGTGGTTTTGATTTGCATTTCTCTGCTGATTAGTGATCATAAGCATGTTTTCATATGTTTGTTTGTTGCTTGTATGTCTTCTTTTGAGAAGTACCTGTTTATGTCTTCCCCCACCTTTCAAGGGGTTATTTGGAGTTTTTTATCGTTGATTTGTTTAAGTTTCTTTTAGATTCTGGATATTAGTCCCTTGTTGGATGCATAATTTGCAAATATTATCTCCCATTCTGTAGCTTTTCCATTTATTCCATTGATAGTTTCTTTTGCTGGGCAGAAGCTCTTTAGTTTAATTAGGTCCTACTTGTCCATTTTTGTTTTTGTTGCATTTTTTTGAGGACTTAGTCATAAATTCTTTCTTTAGGCCAGTGTCCAGAAGAATATTTTCTAGGATTACTTCTAGGATTCTTATAGTTTGGTCATTTAAGTCTTTAATCCATCTCGAGTTAATTTTTACATATGTGAGAGAGGAGGGGCCAATCTCATTCTTCTGCATATGGCTAGCCAGTTTTCTCAGCACCATTTATTGAATAGGGAGGTCTTTCCCCATTGTTTATTTTTGTCACCTTTGTCAAAGATCAGTTGGGTGTAGTTGTGAGGCTTTATGTCTAGTTTCTCTATTCTGTTCTATTGTGTGTGTGTATTGTTGCACCATGACCATGCTCTTTTGGTTTCTGTAGCCTTGTAGTATAGTTTGAAGTCAGGTAATATGATGCCTCTGGCTCTGTTCTTTTTGCTTGTGATTACTTTGGCTATTCAGGCTCATTTTTGGTTTTATATGAATTTTAGAATTGTTTTTTCTAATTCTGAGAAAAATGGTGTTGGAAGTTTGACAGGAACAGTGTTGAATCTGTAGATTACTTGGGGCAATATGGACATTATAACTATATTGATTCTTCCAATTCAGGAGCATGAAAGGTTTTTCCATTTGTTTATGTTATCTCTTATTTCTTTCAGTGGTGTTTTGTAGATCTCCTTGCAGAGATCTTTTACCTCCTTGGTTAGATGTATTCCTAAGTATTTTATTTTTTGTGTGAGCATTGTAAATGGGATTGCCTTCTTAATTTGGCTCTCAGTTTGAATTTTATTGGTATATAGAAATGCTACTGATTTACGTAAATTGATCTTGTATCCTGAGACTTTACTGAAGACTTTTATCAGGTCTAGGAGTCTTTTGGCAGAATCTTTAGGATTTTCTATGTATACAATCATACCATCATCAAAGACAGATAATTTAACTTCCTCTTTTCTAATTTGGATGCCTTTTATTTCTTTCTCTTATCTGATTGCTCTGGCTGGGACTTCCAGTACTATGCGGAATAGGAGTGGTGAGAATAAGCATCCTTGTCTTTTTCCAGTCCTTAAGGGAAATGCTTCCAGCTTATGCCCATTCAGTATGATGTTGGCTGTGGGTTTGTCACAAGGGCTCTTATTATTTTGAGGTATGTTCCTTCAATGCCTACTTCGTTGAGGGGTTTTGCCACAAAGGGATATTTGATGTATCAGATGCTTTTTCTGTATGTAATGAGATGATCATATGGTTTTTGCTTTCAGTTCTGTTTATGGTGAGTCACATTTATCAATTTGAATATGTTGAACCAACCTTGCTTCCCAGGAATAAGGCCCACTTGCTTGTGGTGAATTAACATTTTAATGTGCTGCTAGATTAAATTTGCTAGTACTTTGTCGTGGATTTTTTTTTTCTTTTTTGAGACGGAGTCTTTCACCAGTTCTTTCACCAGGCTGGAGTGCAGTGGGGCGATCTCGGCTCACTGCAACCTCCACCTCCCGGATTCAAGAGATTCTCCTGCCTCAGCCTCCTAAGTAGCTGGGACTACAGGCGTGCACCACCACACCCAGCTAATTTTTTTGTATTTTTAATAGTGACGGGGTTTCACTATGTTAGCCAGGATGGTCTGGATCTCTTGACCTCAGGTGATCTACCCCCCTTGGCCTCCCAAAGTTCTGGGATTACAGGTGTAATCCCCACCCCCAGCAAGGATTTTTTACATCTATGTCCATCAGGGATATTGGCCTGTAGTGTTTTTGTTTTGTTGTCTTTGCCAGATTTTGGTAGCAGGATGATACTGGTTTTCAGTAGGATTGGTACCAGCTCTTCTTTGTATGTCTGGTAGAATTAAGCCATGAATCCATGTGGTCCAGGGCTTTTTTTGGTTGGTAAGTTTTTATTACTGATTCATTTGCAGAGTTCATTATTTGTTCACAATTTCAATTTCTCCCTAATTTAATCTTGGGAGGTTGTATGTTTCTAGAAATGTATTCATTTTCTCTAGATTTTCTAGTTTGTGTGCATGGAAGTGTTTGGAATAGTCTCTGTGGGATCAGTTGTAAGTTGTCACTTTTGTCCTTTCTGATTGTAGTAATTTGGATCTTGTCTCTTTTTTTGTTAATCTAGCCATCAGTGTTTTGTATGTGCTTTCAAAGAATCAGCCTATTGTTTTATTGATCTTTTGTGTATTTTTTATCTCAATTTTATTTAGTCCTGCTCTGATTTTAGTTAATTCTTTTCTTTTGTGGGTTTTGGTATTAGTTTCTTCTTTTTTTTCTAGTTCTTCTATGTGTGATGTTAGGTTGTTATTTTGAGATCTATCTTCTTGATGTAGATATTTAGCACTATAAACTCTCTTCCAAATACTACTTTTGTAATTTCTCAGAGGTTTTGGTATGATGTGTCTCTCCTAGAGACCTTTTACCTCCTTGTTTAGATGTACTCATTTCAAAGAGTGTTTTGCTTTCTGCCTTAATTTTGTTGTCTATCCAAAACTAATTCAAGAGCAGGTTGGTTAGTTTCTATATAATTGTGTGAATTTGAAGTTCCTATTGATATTGATTCCTATTTTTACTCCACCGTAGTCTGAGAATAGGCTTGATACGATTTCTTCTTTTTAATCTATTGAGGCTTGCTTTATAACTAAGTATGTGGTCAATCTTAGAGCATGTTCTGTGTGCAAATGAGAATAATGTATATTCTGTGGTTGTTGGGTGAAGTGTTCTGTAGATGTCTATTAGGTCCAATTGGTCAAGTGTCAAATTTAAATCCAGAATTTTTTTGTTAATTTTCTGCCTCAGTGATCTGTCTAATGCTGTCACTGGGGTGTTGAAGACCACACTATTATTGTTTGGCTCTCTAAATCTTTTTCCTAAGTCAATAAGTAATTGTTTTTTGAACCTGGGTGCTCCAATGTTGGGTGCAGATATATTCAGGATAGTTAAATTTTTCACTGAATTGAACTCTTTATCATTGTGTAATAATGCCCTTCTGTGAGAGCACTCTCCCACAACAGTTTTTTGCTGTTGTTGGTTTAAGGTCCATTTTAACTATTACAAGAGTAGTGACCTCCTCTGCTTTTTCTTTTATTTTTCATTTGCATGATAGATTTTTTTCCCATCCATTTACTTTGAGCCTATTTGGGTCATTACATCTGAGATAGGTCTCTTGAAGACAGTAGAAAGATTAAGATTTTTTAATCCAATTTGCCACTCTATATTTTTTAAATGTAGTGTATATGCCATTTGCATTCAAGGTTAATGTTGATATGTGAAGCTTTGTACCTGTTGTAGTGTTGTTAGCTAATAGCTTTGTGGTCTTAATTGTGTAGTTGCTTTATAAAGCATGTGGACTATGTGCTTACATGTGCTTTTGTGGTGTCATTCTTTTGCTTCCATGTTTAGAACTCCCTTAAGCACCTTTTCTAAGGCCAGTTTGGTGGTGACAAATTCCTTTAGTAATTGCTTGTCTAGGAAAGATTTTATTTCTCTTTCATTTATGAAGCTTATTTTGATGAGAAATGAAGTAATTGGCTGGCATTTATTTTATTTAAGAATGCTAAAAATGTGCCCTCAATCTCTTCTCACTTGTAAAGTTTCTGCTGAGAAGTCTGCTGTTAGTCTGACAGGTTTTCCTTTATAGGTAATATGGCCCTTTTCTCCAGCCACCTTAAAGATTTTTCCCTTTGTGTTGACCTTGGATAGTCTGATGATTATGTACCTTGGGGATGCATCTTGTATAGTATCTTACAGGAGTTCTTTTGATTTCTTGTGTCCACATGTCAACCTCTCTAGCAAAACTGGGGAAATTTTCCTGAATTATATCTTCAAATATGTTTTCCAAGTTGTTGAATTTATCTTCTTCTCTCTGGAATGACAGTAAGTGGTAGATTTGATCACTTTACATTATCCCATATTTCTCAAGGGCTTTGTTAATTCTTTTGTTTCTTTTATCTTTATTCATGTCTGACTGGGTTGATACAAAGGATTGGTCTCAGAGCTCTGAAATTCTTTCTTCTGCTTTCTCTAGTCTGTTGTATTTTGAAATTCCTATAGTAAATTTTTCAATTCCAGAAGTTCTGTTTGATTCTTTCTTAATATAGCTATGTCATCTTTCAAATCCTGATCATTTTTCTGTTTTCTTTGTGTTGGATTTCAGCTTTCTCTTGGATCTCATTAGGTTTTCTTGCCTCCCATATTCTGAGTTATGAATCTGTCATTTCAAACATTTCATTTTGATTAGGATCCATTGCTGGGAAGCTATTGTGTTCCTTTGGAGGTGACAAAACACTCTGACTTTTTGTATTTTCAGAGTTCTTGCACTGGTCCCTTCTTATCTGAGGGAGCTGACATTTCTTTTTTTAATTTGCTATCATTTGGATGGGACTTTTTGATTTTTTTATCCTTTTTTCTCTTGAGGGTATGACTGTGGTGTATGTTGTATATGATTGATAGGCTTCATTTCTGAGTACTCTCAGAGGCCCACAGCT
This sequence comes from Homo sapiens, assembly GCF_000001405.40. Taxonomy (NCBI): domain Eukaryota; kingdom Metazoa; phylum Chordata; class Mammalia; order Primates; family Hominidae; genus Homo; species Homo sapiens. Next base: position 84,867,157 of record NC_000010.11, on the reverse strand, counting down.
CTATATGGGTTCCTTGGTTTCAGAGAGTTTACCATGTTGGCTTTCTCAGACATTGCTTGGTGTAGGAATATATTTTTGCTTGATGGTGTAATACAGGCTGCAGTCCAGTGCATGGGACTTAAGAGTAAGAGACAGTTGGAGACTTACTCTGCATCTATTCACCCTCAGTCCAGATGGGGGTGCTAAGGGAGAAGTCAAAAATCACCCTCCCCCCAGCACAGCTGGTGTTCAGCAGAGGTGGAGCAACTGGAAAAGCCCAATAAGTGCCTCTTTCAGCCCACACTCCTAGAAATCTAATGAGAAGAGCTGCTGCCACATCCACAACAGTGCATTTGCCAGGAGGGCTGGGGTCAAGAGATGACCCCCACTCCAAGTCTGTTCCTGGCCTTTGGTTTTGCACCCTTTAGCAGCTGGTGCTGTGCTCTTGTTTCCTTGGGCTTTGGTGGGTTTTGTTCCCCCCACACCCTTAGGGGCTGTCCTCACAAGGATTGGATCTCAAAGCAAATGGGATCTGCCTCCCTCCCTCTCCACAGAGCTGGTGGAGCACTCTCCCACAAATGATCAAGGGAGCAGACTGGGGTGCCCAGCAATGACACATGCAGACTGGTTCCATGTGGCAAAGCTGTCCCTGACTCCAAGTCACACCACCCAGGAGAATCATCGCTTTATCTCCCATCTCTCTCTCTCTCTCCCATAACTCTCCTCCCATTCCAGTCCTGCAACAGGAAAGAGCCCAATTCCATGCCTACTGCTGGGGCACTCTCCACATTCGCCACTCAGTTCTGACTGTGGGGGTCCTTCCCCTGCTACACAGCAAGCACTCTAATCTTTGGCCGAAGACTAAAATGTCTGCAGTGGCCACCATTGCCAAACATTGACTGTAAGATCCCAGATTAAAAATGGCGTCCTTCTCTCAGTCTATGTCTGGGAAAATGCCTGCAGATTTTCCTAGTTATCTTTCCCTCTCTGTGTCTTTCAGCCCTTCCCCATGCTAATTCCTGGGCTTGGGAGAAACAGGGTGTTCTCCCTTGGCCTGGGTTGCACCGATCCCTAGTGAAAAGTGAGAGCCACACCGGGAGAGTGGCTACTCCTCTCATGTACTGAGGCTTCACTCACTTTGTAAGCGAAACACCGTAGAGTGGCTGCTTTGCCACCTTCTCTTCACGAGGTTTGATGTGTCCTTCACTATCCTGGTGAATTTCCATTTTCCTTCTTGAATTAAGTGTCATAGAGTTGATCTTTACATGCTATTTGGCTATTTCCAAGTGGCTGAGGCACACTGAAAGCTACGTATATTGCTTCTGATTTTAAAGGAAACAGTTCTAGATTTTTATAAGTGAATAACTTACATGCAATCAGTTATTGATAGATATCCTTTATGAGATTCAGGAGCTTCCATCTATTACTAGTTTTCTAGGGATTTTATTACTGACTACATGTGAATAGTACGGATAGATTCTCTGTATCTATTGACGTGTTTTTCTCCTTTAGTCCTTAATGTGGTGAAATACAGTAACAGGTGTTCTAATGTTAAATTATCCATGCTTTCGTGGATAATTCATATCAGATATGATACATTATCTTTTTATATATTAAGAATTTATTTGAAAAATTTTTCAGACTTTTGCTCCCAATTCATGAGTGGGATTGGCCTATAATTTTGTTTCTTATACTGTCCTCACACGGCTTTGTTATTATTCCTATAAAATAAGATTATATTCTCTAATGGAATATGTATACTCTTAGAATTGTCTGTTACTTAAGTATTTGGTAGAATTCAAATGCAAAACTGTCAGTCTTTTGTTGTTGTTGCCGTTGTTTTTGTTTTTGCATTTTCAGTGTAGATATTTTTTAGTCTCTGATTTAATTTTGTTAATTTATTTTTTCCTTTTTGACTCAATTTTAATGAATTCTACTTTCTAGTAATTTTGCTTCCTTTTTCAAGTTTATAAAGTACCATTGTGTGACCTTATTAATTTTTAATCTCTATTATATATTTTGGCATGCCCTCCTTTTTTTATTCTTAATACTGATTTTATTTCTTTATTCAATCTTTCTGAACATTTTCAAGTGAGTTTTTAAAAAACTAACTATGCATTGTATTTCTTTTTTCTTTTTCTTTGTCTGTAGTTTGATATTCACTTTCAAATTTCTTAAGTTGGATTCTTAGTTTATAGATTTTCAAATTTTCTTTTTTCCTAATATGAGCATTTAAACTTTCAAGTTTCTCTTGAATTACCGCTTATCTGCATTTTACAAACTTCAATATTTAGCGGTTTCATTTTTCCACTCTAAACATTTTCTAATATTTATTATGATTTTATCTTTGACCTAAGTCAAATTGTGTATATTAGAAGTGTGTATTTTTCATGTCTAAACATGTAGGGCTTTTTCAGTAAAAAAAAGTTTTTATTGTTGAAATCTAATATAATTGCATTATTGATAGGAAATATGATCTGTGTACTGATCATTCTTTTACATTTGTTGAGGTTTGATTAATACCCCATTACATGTACAATTTTGGTAATTATTAATGTATGTTTGAAAAAATGTGTAGTTTCCAATTACTGAGTGCACAGTTCTGTTTCTCCATTAAATTGAACTTGTTAATTGGGCCATTTGAATCTTCTGTATTCTTGCTATCTTTGCCCCTTTGTCATCTGTTTGACCTTGTACCACCAGTTTATACAACTCTAGGGGAATTGTTTACACAGAGCTTTGTTCTCAAGTGACTATGCATCAAAATCGCCCATGAAATTTTTATTTTCATTTGTTTACTTATTTATTTTTTAGAGACAAGGTCTCACTTTGTTGCCTAGGCTGGAGTGCAATGACACAATCATAGCTCACTGTAACTTCAAACTCCTGGGCTCAAGCAATCTTCCTGCCTCAGCCTCCTGAGTACCTGGAATGTAGGTGTGTGCCATCACGCCCAGACAACCCCCATAAAGTTTTTAAAATGCAAACACCTGTTACCTACCCCCATGCTGATTCACTGTCTCTGAGGTGAGGCCTAGAAAACAGCATTTGTAAAGGCCCCATATGATTATAATGAACAATCAAGATCAAGAAGCCCTATTTTGGGTCTGGTGCGGTTGCTTATGCCTGTAATCACAGTACTTTGGTAGGCTGAGGTGGACATATCACTTGAGCTCAGGAGTTTGATACCAGGCAAAACCCTGTCTCTACAAAAAAATACAAAAATTAGCTGGGTGTGGTGGTGTGTGCCTGCAGTTCCAGCTCCTCAGGAAGCTGAGACAGAACAATCACTTGAGCCTGGGAAGTGGAGGTTGCAGTGAGGCGAGATCACACCATTGCACTCTAGCCTGGGTGATGCAAGTAAAACCCTGACCAAAAAAAAAAAAAAAAAAAAAAAAAGCCCTATTTTTATGTTTGTGAGATTACTCTTGATTATACTCCTACTGATGTCTTGCAAAATAAATTCTCCTATATATTAAGAGCCAGCCCTCTCTTAAATCTATGCAATAAACAAGATTATTAAACACTTCAAGACAGCTATGGGCTAATGTGATTTGTGACCCTTTGTGACCTCCTAAGAATACCAGCAAAGGGAAATCTAGTCTAGAACAACCACAGCATACAATACCTAGGCCTGGGTCCTCGGAAGAGTAGCAGGAGAGTCTCTCCAGTTATGGTACCTTACTACTCTTGTTAGATATTTATAGAGAAACACAGGACACTAGTTTGCCACGGGATATCAGAAAAGATTCTTTAACAAATACTCAGGAAGGGAGTTGAGCATAAGTAATCTGGTGTAGTACAAGGGCCCGCAGCAATGAAATCACCTGAGAGCTTGTTAGAAATACAGAATCTCAGGCCCCACCCTAGACTTCTGAACCAAAATCTGCTTTTTAACAAGATCCCCAGATAATTTGATGTATATTCTAGTTTGAGACACACTTTAAAAATGCAGACAGATTCATGTTTCTAACAAGCTCCCTGATGATGCCAATTCTTCTAGTAGAAGGACAAGCTTTACATAGTAGGGTTTATATTACCAGAAGTTAAACAGAGGGAGGAAATCCTTAAAACCATTCAGGGATGCCCATTTCCTATTACCAGCACCAAAAAAAAAATGCTATGTGGGCTTCGGATGTTTATGAAACCCAAAGAGCACATCCTCCCACAAATTTAACATAATATGGAAGGGTACAGAATGTTGTCTTTGTCAACCAATAGAGAGATTCAAATACCCAAGGGAAGAATGCCGAAAACAATTAGAATCTCTCATCTTCTTTGTTGATTTCTCTACACAAGACAGTCTGCTCCTGCCTGTATGCCTCAAATTCACAAATTCTCCTCTGCAAATGTTCATGGGCAGGTTGCAGCTTTCTGCCCTCTGTGCTTTTCATTACTGTCATTGGACTGTCTGTTATCTTAAGCAGCCACAGCTGTGGAAGGAATCCATGGAGAACATATTTTCCTATTGAAATGAGCAACATGTTTTTAGTTTGTTTTTTAACAGTTGAGCAGCTTGCACACAGCCTACACTCACATCCCTGCCTGGTTGATCCTAGGTCTGCCCATCTGAGCTGCATTTCTGAAAGTCAAGCTGGTTTAGAGGTCAAGCAAAGCAGAGCCTGGACCTTCCTTGGAGCAGGTTCAATGCTCATGGTCCTCACTGTCCTTTTGCTGAAAAACTCCCTATCACTCTTGGTAAAGCTGAAGCTTATCTCTCAGAGTGTGTTCAGGAAGAGCTCTGTGATGGTATTCCTGGAGTTTTGAATATTTAAAAAAAAATTTTAAAGTTCTGATAGCTTGGAGAACAGTGTATTTGGACATAAAGGCTTTGGCTATCACTTTCTTTCCTTCTGTTTCTTGAATTCATTTTTCCTCTTTCTTCTTGCTTTGCAGGTTGCTGGAAAGCATTCTGATGCCAAAATGATTTTATTTCCTTTCTTGGCTGTATGATCTTTTTTGCCTGGGGGCCCAGAGGATATTTTTTTATCCTGACCTTTAAATTGTAAAAGTTTCACAAGGATATATCTCAGAGTTGAACATTACTGGTTCACTTTCCAAACATACAGGGTAAAATATTGATATACAGATAAGGATCTCTTTCATTTACAGACTTTTTAAATTACAGTTGTAAATATTAGTTTCATTTCATATTTTGTCTTTCTGCTTCAGAGATTCCAATAATAGGTATTTTGGATCTTCTTTGCCTGTCTTCCATTTGTATTTTTTTCTGATCTTTTTAACCACTATCTTAATTGTATTTATTTCTTATTATTCTGTTTTATTATTTCACTTCATTATCCCATGGAAACATATTATTTATTCTTCATTTCTTAGACTGTCCTTTTCTTACAAATTCTGTCCTGAAGTTGATCAGTTCTTATTTTACTTCTTTTTCTTTTAACATTTTTTGGGTCATTTTTCTTCTGGGTTTTTAATTTTAACTCAAAGTTTTACATTTGGAATAAAGAAGCTCTTTAATATCTGCATATTCTTGTTTAATAGTATTTAATTTTTGTTAGAGTATTATGTTACAGTTTTTTTGTTTCATTTTTGTTTTAGAGAAATGTTTTATTATCATTTATTTAATGATATTGCATCTCACTTTCTATTTTCTATTTATGCTTGTATGACTTTCTGCCTTTTTTCTGCCATTCTTTCCTTTTAAAATGTCTTCTATTTTTCTAGATCAGCAACTGATCCCCCTCTAGATGGGAAGATTAAAAACTTTTAGAGAGGCTACTAGGTTTTCTAGTTCAAGAGCATCCTTCTCTCTTGGTACAGAGAGAATTTTGTTGGAGATAAAATCATGAATGAAGAAAGTTAAAATGTCTTCTGATTCATCAGTTCTCTTTCTTTTTGATAGAATTGTGAATTCCCTCTACCTGCTTCCTTCTTCGTTTACCACCAACCCACCCAGAGATGCTTCTCTCTTTCTAGCTACCACCTCTTCCGTAGAACAGGGTCTTCCAGGATTACCTCTTTGGTTCTGAACATTTTCAAGTCTGTTTATTTAAATTATTCAGTAATCAGTACTCCAACTTATGAGGACTCTGACCTGTTTTATATTTTCTCACTCATGGTGAAATCCTCTTTCTGGAAATAATGTTATCAGTGTCCCTTGCCACTGTGACCTGCCGCACTCGACTCTTTCCTATTGATTTTCTGCCTGACTGTCCACACTGAGCTGGGCTCCAGAGCAAGCTCTACTGTGGGTGTTTATTCCCCCATTTGCATTTAATTCTGTCTCTGAATTGTGCTTCTAAATAATGCATGGGTAAAAAAAAGATCGAAATGGGAAATTGGTAGTTTAAAACTGAATGATGATGAAAACACAACATATCAAATTACAGCCATGATGGAAAACAGTATGGAAGTGCCTAAAGAAATCAAAAACAGAACCACCATATGACCCAGCAATCCTTCTTCTGGGTTTATACCGAAAGGAAATTAAATCCTCCCACATCATAAAGATAACTGGACTCCTGTATTCATTGCAGCATTATTCACAATAGCCAAGATGTGGAAATAGCCTAAATGTCTGTTGAGGAATTAATGGATAAAGAAACTGAAACTCTAATATATATAAAGAATGAGACCTTACCATTTGCCACATCATAGATAAGCCTGGATGACATTATACTAAGTGAAATAGTAAATAAGCTGGACACAGAAAGAAAAATATTGTATGATCTCATTTATATGTGGAATCTTTAAAAAAAATTCAAATATGCAGAGATAGAGAACAAAACAGTGATTACCGGGGTGGAGATGGAAGGAGGTTTGAAGGAAATGGGGAGATGGAAGTCAGAAGATACAAAGTAACAGATATGTAGGATGAACAAGTCCCCAGGTCTAATGTACTGCATGAGGACTATGGGTAATAAAATTATACTGTATTTGAGATTCATGCTAAATGAGTGGATTTAACTGTTCTTGACACAGAAACAAAAAAAAAATGGGAACTATGTCAGATGATAAATATGTTACTTTGTTTCAATAGTAACCAATTTACTATCTATATGTATACCATAATGTCATGTGGTATATCTTGACTATACAGAGTAAAATTTATATTTAAAGGCAGTTTATCATTAAACACTGATATTTTAAAATACGAAAGTTCTCAATTCAATGATCACAGCTTCTATCTTTTTTAAAAAAAGAACAAATTAAAAACAAAATAATCTAAGTAAGGAAATCATAAAAACTAGAGTTAAACAGTGAAATAACTGAAGAACAACAGAGAAAAAAACTAGTGAGCATAATACCCAATAGACAGTCTTTCAACTCACACTCCTCTCCCTCTCTCCCGTCTCTCACAATCTCCCGTGTCTGTCATTCCCATCTTTATGTCTATGTGTGCTCCCACTTATAAGTGAGAACATGCAGTATTTGGCTTTCTGTTCTGGTATTAGTTCACTTAGGATTATGTCCCTCAGCTCTATCCATGTTGCTGCAAAGGACATGATTTCATTCTTTTTTATGACTGCATAGTATTTCATGGTGTACACTGGGCACTATGTTCACTATGTGGGTCCAGTATTCCCATGTAGCAACCCTACACTAGTATTCCCTGCATCTAAGGTAAAAGCTGAAATTTAAAAAATTAAAGAACATACCAAAACAGAGATATAGATCAATGGAACAAACAGAGCCCTCAGAAATAACGCTGCATATCTACAACTATCTGATCTTTGACAAACCTGACAAAAACAAGCAATGGGGAAAGGATTCCCTATTTAATAAATGGTGCTGGGAAAACTGGCTAGCCATATGTAGAAAGCTGAAACTGGATCCCTTCCTTACACCTTATACAAAAATCAATTCAAGATGGATTGAAGACTTAAACGTTAGACCTAAAACCATAAAAACCCTAGAAGAAAAACTAGGCAATACCTTTCAGGACATAGGCATGGGCAAGGACTTCATGTCTAAAACACCAAAAGCAATGGCAACAAAAGACAAAATTGACAAATGGGATCTAATTAAACTAAAGAGCTTCTGCACAGCAAAAGAAGCTACCATCAGAGTGAACAGGCAACCTACAAAATGGGAGAAAATTTTTGCAACCTACTCATCTGACAAAGGGCTAATATCCAGAATCTACAATGAACTCAAACAAATTTACAAGAAAAAAACAAACAACCCCATCAAAAAGTGGGCAAAGGACATGAACAGACACTTCTCAAAAGAAGACATTTATGCAGCCAAAAAACACATGAAAAAATGCTCATCATCACCGGCCATCAGAGAAATGCAAATCAAAACCACAATGAGATACCATCTCACACCAGTTAGAATGGCAATCATTAAAAAGTCAGGAAACAACAGGTGCTGGAGAGGATGTGGAGAAATAGGAACACTTTTACACTGTTGGTGGGACTGTAAACTAGTTCAACCATTGTGGAAGTCAGTGTGGCGATTCCTCAGGGATCTAGAACTAGAAATACCATTTCACCCAGCCATCCCATTACTGGGTATATACCCAAAGGACTATAAATCATGCTGCTATAAAGACACATGCACACGTATGTTTATTGCGGCACTATTCACAATAGCAAAGACTTGGAACCAACCCAAATGTCCAACAATGATAGACTGGATTAAGAAAATGTGGCACATATACACCACGGAATACTATGCAGCCATAAAAAATGATGAGTTCATGTCCTTTGTAGGGACATGGATGAAATTGGAAATCATCATTCTCAGTAAACTATCGCAAGAACAAAAAACCAAACACCGCATATTCTCACTCATAGGTGGGAATTGAACAATGAGATCACATGGACACAGGAAGGGGAACATCACACTCTGGGGCCTGTTGTGGGGTGGGGGGAGGGGGGAGGGATAGCATTGGGAGATATACCTAATGCTAGATGACGAGTTAGTGGGTGCAGCGCACCAGCGTGGCACATGTATACATATGTAACTAACCTGCACAATGTACACATGTACCCTAAAACTTAAAGTATAATAATAAAAGAAAAAAAAAATTAAAGAACAAATAATAACTCAAGCTTTCACCTTAGCAAATGACAAAAATAAGCACACTAAACTCAAGGCAAGTAGAAGAAAAAAAAAGACTAAAAGCTTATTTGAAAAAGTCAGTAAAATTAATAATCTTCTAGGTAGACTAGCCTGAAGGGGAAAGAGGAAGAAGACATAAATTACCAATTTTAGAAAAGAGGAAGATAACATCACTATATGTTTTAAAGGGGTAATAAATATTTTGACAAGTTATTGCCAATGAATCCAATGACTTAGATACAAGAGAGAAAATCCTGCAATGACACAAGCTGCAAAAACCCACTCAAGAAGAAATAGATCATTTTAAAATTCCTGTATTTTTTTAAAAAATTCAATTTGGAGGAATTTTAACATTCACACACACCAAAAAAAAAAAAAAACCCAAGCACTAATGATTTCATTTTATCAAACCTTCAAGGATGAAATCATGACAATTGTGCACAAACCCTTCCAGAAAATTGAAGGAAAGAGAATACTTTCTAGCACATTCTATGAGGTCAGCAATACTCTGATACCAACACCAGATAGAGACATTATAAGAAAAACAAAAGTTGGACACCAATATATTTAATAAATTTATATATAAAACTTAACAAAAATTTGAGTAAAGCAAATGCAATAATGCACAAACAGGAAAATGTGTTATGACCAAATGAGGCTTATCACAGGAATGCAAGGTCTATTCAAATTTAATATCAATTAATGTGATTCACTGTAATAACAGACTTACAAAAATTATCTCAACAGATGAAGAAAGAGCATTTGGCAAGAATCAGCATTTATCCCTGATAAAAACCCTGTGCATAGTAGGATAGAAATGTTTTCAATAGGGCAATGAAGTGTACTAAAAACCTACAGGTAATATCATACTTAATGCTGAAAGACTGAAAATTTGTCTAAAATTAAAAACAAGGTAAAAATGTTCACTCTCATCACTGTTTTTCAAAATAGTGCTGAAATTTCCAGCCAGTACAATAAAACAGGAAAAGGAAATTAAAGGCACCCAAATTAGAAAGGAACAATTAAAATTATGTCCCTCTGCAGACCTTGTCTATTTGATATTATTCAGGAGGCTCTAGCTAATGCAATAGGTTAAGAAAAAGAAATTAAATGCATCTTGATTACAAAACAAGTAAAAATGTCTTATTTGCAAGTGACATTATGATTTATGTAGAAAATTCTGTGGAGTCTACACAAAAGCTTCTGGAACTAATAAAGGAGATACAAAATATTGCAGAGTAAAAAAAGTTACTTTGCAAAAATCAATGATATTTCTATATACCAGCAACAAACATTGGGAAATTGAAACAAAATATAGCATCACTTACAATTACATCAAAAATATAAAAGTCTCATGGATAAGTCTGGCAAAATACATGTAAACTCTGTGCACTGAAAACTACAAAATTTGGTTGAGAAAATGTAAAAATTTAAATAATGGAGATACATATAGTGCCTTGGAATGGAATATTCAGTATCTTTTTTTTTTTTTGAGACAGGGTCTCACTCTGTCACCCAGCCTGGAGTGCAGTGGCACAGTAACTGCTCACTGCAGTCTCGACCTCCTGGCTCAAGCAATTCTCCCACCTCAGTCTCCTGAGTAGCTGGGACTACAGGTGGGCAGTACCACACCCAGCTAAATTTTCATCTTTTTTTCATAGAGACAGGATTTCACCACGGTGCCCAAGGTGGTCTCAAACTCCTGAGCTCAAGTGATTCACCTGCCTCATCAATATTTTTAAGATTTCAGTTAGTGTTAAATAAATCTGTAGGTTTACTGTGTTCCAAACCAAAATCTCAGCAAACCATTTAAAAGTATAAATTGAAAACCTGTTGCTAAAATGTATATGAAAATGCAAAGGACATAGAATAGCACCCCCCAAAAAAAACTGTAAGAAAGAGTTAGACAAGTAGACTAACAAAATATAATAGTGAGCCTATTATATATATATATATATACATATATATATATGATTCCTTAGATTCAACTAAGAAGCACAATCCAAAATAGAAAAACACATTAAACTGGATTTCATCAAAATTAAGAATTTCTGATCTTCAGAGGATACTGTTAACATAATAAAAGGACAAATTACACAGACTGGGAGAAAAAAAAATTGCAAATCACATAAAGAATCTCCTGTATAATACTGAATTGACAAGTTCTGCAGGTAGACACCTGATATAGAACATGTAACCAAAATATACAAACTCTAATACAGTGAAAAGGAAAGATTTCTTTAAATCTTTCAAATAAAAGACATACAAACAAGATTTTACTACACACCTATTAGAAAGTCTAAGATTAAAAACCTGACCATAACAATTGTTATCAAGGATGTGGAGCAACTGGAACTCTCACACACTTCTGAATGTAAAATGTGAAACACTTTGTAAAACGGTTTGGCAGTTTCATTAAAAAATTAAACATATATCTACCATTCTGCTTCGAGGTATAATAATTTCCCAAGAGAAATTAAAGCATATGTACATAGAAAAACTTGTATATTAGTGTCAATAGTAGCTTTGTTTGTGGTAGTCAATAACAGGAAACAACACAAATATCCATCCACAGCATAAAAGAATTGCTGTATGTCCATATGATGAAATTATATTCAACAATAAAAATGAATGAAAAAACTACTAATATACTACACAATGACACAGATGCATCTCAAAATAATTATGGTTAGTGAAAGAACCCAGATAAAAAACAGTGCATACTATATCATTCCATTTATATTAAATCCCAGAAAATACAGAGTAATTTACAGTAACAGAAAGCAGATCAGTACTTGCCTGGGAATAGGGAGTTGGAAAAGCAGAGGATGAAATGATAAACAGGCAGAAGGTTACCTTCAGGTTTGCTGGATATGTTCATTATCCTGATTGCAAAATGGTTTCTGGATGGTTTCATAGATATATGCATGCATGCACTTATCACATTGTATACTTTTTATATGTGTAGTTGATTATAAATCAAGTATACTTCAATAAAGCTGTTAAAAAGTTTGAAAATGAAATACTACTCATGGTGATATTGTACAAGTAAATAATAGAGGGGATTTAAGTGACGACATAACTATCTGCTGGGACAAGTCAATCTGCACCTACAGTGATTTAGTCAAAGTGGCTAATAAGTAAAATATAACTAGAAAATACAAAGACAAGGCATCTGAAATTTGGATTGATTGAAACAAGCACTATTAATTCCTAGACCTTAGTGTGTTATTCCACCTCTGGAAACGGATTTTGAATCTGTGGGCACAGAACACACATACATAAACTCATATGCCTATATAAATTCCCAACTTTCATGGCAAAGGATACAAATCTTAACAGAAGCATGGTGGTGGCCCCAGGTCAAAAACAGGCACAGGCTGTCATTGTGGGATCTTGAAAAAAATATTTATAAATTTGAGGATTTCCTGCTTCCTGAACCCTATTAAGCAAGAATTGCAATTGCGAACGTACAACATCTTTATCCAGGGTAGAAAGAGGAGTCAGCAGCATCAGTCCCTAGCACTAGCCTTTCTCCAGCTCCCCAGGGACCCAGAAATACCATCCTACAGCTGTGAGAAAACTTCGTCTAATAGCAGCATGAAGTCATCAATGTCTTAGGTTCATTTTTGAGGAAGTTACAATGTCTTATTTGAAAAAAATAATAATAATGCTTAATGTCCCAAGATTAGTGAAGTAAAACACTTAGGAGACCAAAAGTAAAGAGACATTTTTCAAGACTATATATTACATAAAGAAAAAAGATACAAAACATACAATTTATTGATAAGACTCTTGAAATTAACACAGGATTAATGACTCATGCTCAGAGAAACTCCGAACAGGCTTTGGGTAAATTTTCTGTAACAAATAAAATCACACAATATCAATCACTATCATGTGTGCATGAAAGGGGAAATGCCTCACATTATTGGATGAAACTGACAACTTTCAAAAGATGAATGGGTTCTAAGTATGAGTATGTAATATTTATAATGGAAAAATGCTTGATAAATATTTGTGTTCTTTCAGAAGAGATAGTTGTTTTATTAAATGATTCCTTTTATGAAACGAAATATAGATAGAAAAAATATCTTCAGCTTAGCATTGTGAAATTTGGAAGTACAAATCTTCTGTTCCCTAAGAAAATTAGAAAATAATATAATAAAATCACCTCTCTTTGATCAAGAAAAATCTTTTTAAAAATAATGAATTTCCCTTCTAAGGAGAGAAACAGCTTCTGTAACAGGAAAATTGTAAAGAGTCTGAAGTACTTTGTTTGTTCAAGCCCTATGTTATAAATTGCTTTTCTTTGCTGATAAGAAAAGCTAAGAATTCAGAATATTCATGATCCAGGAAGCTAAACAAAAACCTGCTCATGAACTAATCAGGTTGAGACAAATATGTAAAACTAAAATGTGGTTCTGTTCAATCATAAGTGACAAATTCCCTAAGTTGTGTTTTCCTGTCATTCAATATAAAGAGATAAGTATTTTCTTGTCAATTTTACTAATTAAGATTGCTACATCTACAATGCAATCTTTATCTTTCAGTCTTGAGAGAATTGTTAGGAATCACAAAAACGTCTTCAGAGGAAAAGCAGAGCGTGAGTTCAGGAAGGGCCTGTTCTATTTTTCTCTCCTTTCATTTGTATTGCAAAGCCATCGCCAAGTATTTTTCTGTCTTCCATTACCCAAAAAGATACAAACAGCTAGAGCAGATTCTAGTTTAGAGAATGGCCATCAGAATCAGCAATCTTCCTGTTGCCAGAGAGTCAAAAATAATTAAAGGCATTCCTGACAGTATTAAAACCTAAGTATATTTAAAAAAGTATTGTTTAGTGCTTGAAATTCCCAATGGAGCACCCCCTAAGTGCAAAGTCATGTGAGAATTTGCTCTTAAATACCAGTACAGTCTCACTTTGTTTTATTCTTAGAGAAGAGAAGAGTTGGGGTTAATGTTATTTCCTTATCTTGATTCATCTTGAAGAAATTCTGAATCTGATGCTTCCAAGCACTGGGGTACATGCCCTTTTGGTGTTCTACATGAAGGAATGGGCAAGATACAAGATTCTGTTTTCCAGGGAGAAAGACGCTTACATAAGTCTTTGTAATGAAGGATGTGACAAAGTGGCTTTTTCATGGCACTGATAATGCCAGAGAAGAGGAGTGCTAGGACTTCAGGTGGCTCACTCAACTGGCATATCTCAGTGATAGTCAGTTATCTCAAATAGTCTAAACCTAGCATGTCAGGGCTGAAATAGCTTATGTTAGTTTAATGTGGAGAATGAAATTTCCAAGAATTCCTAAGATAACCAAAACGAGGTGTAAGTCATTCAGTAAGGGTCTGATTCTCCCTCAGTGTCTTTTTTCCTAGGGTAGGGAAGAGAATGAGTGATGTCATTTTTGTAAATTACATGGAAATTCTGCAGTAGAATATGACAGAATATATTCCAGGGCTGAGCAAAAACAAGTGAGTTAGGAATCCATTGACCAATTCCTTCTAAACTGGAACTCTGAATTTTCCAGTATTTGAAAGTAATACACTTATTATGAAGGCACTTATTTTGAATACACTTATTATGAAGGCACAGAATTTCTGGATTCAACAAATGTGCTGAGGGCCCACCATTTTCTACATCCTTCTCAATGCACTTACGACACAACAGTGAAGGAAATTAATAAAAATCCCTAACCACGTGGACTTTACATTATACTGTGAGAAGAGGAGAGGAGGATCGAAAGGAGACAAACAATAAGCACGGTAAATAAGCGAAGAAATAGTAAGTTAGAAAATGACAATTTCTATGGTTTAAAAAAAAAAAAAAGAAAAAAAGTCAAGCAAGGTACCAGCAATCAGGGATGTCTGCCAAAGAAGGGTGGTGGGGAGGGTGGATGCAGGTTGCAATTTAAAATAGGGTGATCTGAGCAGGGCACATTAAGAAGGTGACCTCTGAGTAAAGACAAGAAGGAGGTAAGGGAGGTAAGTATGCAGATAACGGGAGGAAAACGGAAGATATGACCAGTGCAGAGACAAGTAGGAGCCTGTCTGAGGGCTGCAGGGGCCAGGGAGATGGAGTGGAACCACTGAGCCTGAAGGCTTCAGGTCTGAGAGGTCACTAAGACTGGACCATTTAGTCTCTCATAAGGACACTGGTTTTAAATGAGAATGAAATAGTGTCATTGCAAGGTTTCTAAAGGGTGGCATGACTGGCTTAGGTATTATTATAGGACCAACAGGTTTGTATGCCTGCTATGCAGTAACAGACCAATTACACTGAGACAGCAGGATTTACATCGGAGAGAGGGTTTAATGATTGCAGGGTACTGAGCAAGGGGAAGGGAGGAGACCCTCAAATCCATCTCCCCAAGAAGTTCTGGGCTAGGGTTTTTAAGGGGATCATGGAAGGTGAGAGGCTGGAAAATTGGGGTTATTAATTCATCACAGTACGGGGAATGAAATTATCAGGACATGGAAACTGCATTCTTAGGTGAGTCAGCTCCTTGTGAGGTCCTAGAGACCAGCAGAGTCAGTAGTTTCATCAGTATGCAGGACCTGAAGGAATAGCTCAAAGATAATGTTTTATAACATTCAAACTGTTACCCATAGAACCGTTAAGAGGGAACTATAATCTAGGATCTATGTGATTCCAGGACAGGAGGCACCAGGCAACCACGAGGAAGCAGGTCAGGGCACAGGCTGACCTAGTGATTAATGCTGAGTGTGCTGCAAGTTGAGTTTAGTTTCATCTCTCCCACTCTCTTCTTCCCTGATTAATTTTATAAAGTTTATAGGGTCAGTTTCAGTATTATATGAATAATTTTGGCTATAGAATTGAAATTATGCAGGAGGGACAGAGCAAGAGGCAATTAGGAAGTTATTGGCATATTCCATGCCAGAGATGTTGATAACTCACCCAAGGGTGATATTAGAAGAGGTGGTGAAAAGTCTTCAACTCTGAATATATTCCAGATGGAGAGCCAACAGCATTTCCCGACAGATTGGATGTCCTGTGTGCGAGAAAAAGAGGAATCAACATGGCTTCATGGCTTCTTTCCCTGAGCAACTGGAAGATCAGGTTTGCCATCAACTGCAACGTGGAAAGTTGCAGAAGGAGCAGGTGGAAAGGAGTTCCGTGTGAGCCTGTTGAGTTTGAGACGCCACTGTGGAATGCGGATTAGGCTGCAGGCTCAGTAAGTCTGCAGTTCAGGACAGAGGCCTGAGCTAGAAATGGACATTTGAGTGTTGTCAGGATATAGATGCCCTTTAATGCCAAGAGACTGAATAAAGGGGTGAGTGTCAACAAGGAGGAGAGAATCAAGTACTGAGCTCAGGGGCATTCCAGCATTAAAAGGTCAGGAGAGAATGAGGAACCAGTAAGGGAGAATGAGGAGATTGACTATTAAGGTAAGAGAAAAAAAAAAAAAAACTCAAGGCATTTGGTGTACCAGAAACCAAGTGAAGTAAATATATGAAAGAGCATAGAGTGATCACTGCAATGAAACCATGCCCCAAACTCCTACTTATTTGAACAGGATGATAACAATATATATAACCCACATTGGTCCTTGTTTCAGGAAACAGAGTCCTGGCTCACTAGACCTAACTAGTAGCAGGGGCCATGTCTGCATGAACAAATCATGTAGTTCAAGATATTCCCATACATAGAACATCAAAGATCAGCCTTGCCTAGAGTTACATTCGTTTGAATACTAAGTACAAGGTACTGGAATACCTTCCATGCAATAGAATCCAATGCTGGCCACCTGTTGAGAGAGAGATATCCCACAGAAAGTTCACATCCGTAATTTCAGCCTTGACTCCCTCCCTTTCCCCACTTTGACTCCTTCCCTTTCCCCACATGCCACTAAGTCCCAGCATGTCTCACATCAAATCCACTCAAGTTATGGCACCAAATACACAGGGGTTGTCTTATCTCTTAATCCCCTCACCAATCCCAGTGCAGCAGAGTCTTAATGAGTGTTTTGTCAAATTGGAATGAATGACTGGTACTTTGATTACCATTTTTCTGTCTACTGCTATGACAAACAAAAAAATAAATTGTACAGGAGGAATCTGGAATTTATATATGACCCCACATGGATAAAGTAAATTCTGCACTTCTATACTGGCCCATGATCAGTGAACTTTCTTATATCGAGGCAAGCAATTGAGGAGAAGCAGAAATGCCCCCAAAGCAGGCCAGCACCCCCTTTGGTGTAAGGTCATTCAGCACCACTGGCTCCTTGACAACAAAGAGTGTCAGTTTCATCTGGAAACCTAAAGGGAGGCAGCCAAGTCTCTGAGATTGATGCCCTTCACACATCCTGAATGACACTTCTGCTGAGTTACCACATAGCCATGATGGAGCCACATCAAACCCATGCTCCTTAACAGCTTGGAAGCTTGACTCACTCTCAATCCAAAAACTCACTTTCATTTTCCTGGAGACAGCACAAAGGTACCTGGAGTGCAGCACATTTCAAAAGTATCAGCCTCAGTCATCTAAGAGAAGCATTTCCGGTCTGTGATTTAGGGACAGGTTGCAAATGTCATTTGCATGGAGCAGAAAGAACTGCCTTTGTTTCATCCCTAACAAAACTCAGTGAAGAAGATCAGTGCTAGGAAAATTGTTGGTCAGAGGATATGGCTGAATTCTAATTTAGTAAAAGGTATATGATCTCTGAGTTCTAGCAAAGGCAAAAAGGAGACAAGGCCATAGGAAAGAAAAATGTCACTTGTGTTTCTCTCAACTAATAGGATCATATAAAAATGAAATAGAGAATAAAAACACAGTGATGTTGATGGATTATGATAAGAATTGAGTTGAAAAAAATAAATGCTTTAAGTCATCCAATTCTCTAAATAACATTGGAAACCAAAGAGTCAAATGTGTTCAAGCTTATCTGCACCAAATCTGGAAATTGTTGGCAAGATTACTAACTGCAATTTCACGATGACATTACGGGGCCCCAAAAGCAATTCTGAAGACAGCTGGTCTCCTTGCAGAGATAATAGATTCAGACATAATCCAGGTTCCTTCAAAAGGTCAATTCAGGGGTCACAGCCAAGATCAAGTTTGTAATTGTTGCAATTTCACCTTCTGCAGCAGAGAGCATCAAGTCAGATGAGGCATTGCTTAAAGAGGAGCAATTTTCTCTATAAAGTTATTGTCATTAGTAGATCTTACAGGTAAGGTGACCAAGCCTTTATTCTTCTTGTAGTTCTAATTTTGTGCTACCATATCAAGTAGTAAATCACAAAATTTAACACTCTAAGCTATTACCATGTTGCCAGCTTTGCAACTTTGCAGTCCTACAAATACCAACTGAAAGACCCATTCATGGCAACATATCTCTTCTTTTCACACAAGAATATTTAGGGGAGTATGTTAGTGAATGCACTTCCTGGGCAACTCTTGCTGTTGGTTTGAGAAAGAGGTGTTCAAACTCTTGCCAATGCTGTGTAGAAGCAGAGCGAATGTTCTAGTCCTTGTGTGTCCTTGTGGTTAGGCTGGGAGACTGTAGCACAATTCTTGCTGACAAGGGTCTCCCTTGTCCATCCAGAAAGGAGGTATTTGCTATGGTCCTCAAGGCAAAATGGGAGGCTTTGCACCTGGAAAATCAAAAAGAAAACTTGTGATCAATTAGTTCAGCTTTCTTATATTATAGGTGGTAAAACTGAAAGCCAGGCTGTACAAATGACTTTCCCAAGATCAGACAGTTAATTAGTGGCTGGGCCCCATGTTAAGTCTTACATTCTGACCATTGTTCAACACTTCCCACTTTAATACATATGATGTGTATAATCATTCTGCCAACCACCATTTGCAGTGTGTGATAATAGAGGAAAGAGCTGTGTGGGGACAGATATCTGATGAGGGCTTGATGTTTCTTCTTTTTACTGTGCTAATTACCACAATTACTGTAACTATACCAAGAAGGGGTTTCTTAGAATAATCTTTATCCAGGGCCACAAAATATACATACTTTGGGAATCTGTATGATTACTGCCCACCGCCCCCCACCGCCCACCGATTCAATCAGTGAGGCCGAGCAATATCTGTGCTTTTCCATATCAATATTGTTAGTTTCTTTGCCACAAGTAGAGATGTGATAATTAGCAGATCCAAACGATAAAATGCAATTTTCAAATATTGCTAAAAACCAAATGTAGTAAAGTTTGCTACATTCTTATGAGCCAAACTTAACTGGAGAAGTAACAACACTCTGGTTTCTGTTGACCTACTTATGATTTGACATTTAAAAGGAAAGTAAAAAGAGTAGGATGCCCTGGGCTCAGAAGTCAAGGAGACACCAGTCTTTGATTCTCAATGTGGGGAACTGGATTTTCAATTGTCATTTGACTGCCTAATGGGTTGGGCAAAGACAGACTTGATTGGAATGGGCTTTCAGCTCTTTGTATGCGCCTGACATTGTTCATGACCACCAGGGCCTCTGTTCCCAGTCTAGTTTGAAAAAGCGTTCCCATCTCACAGTCAGTCATATCCATGATACAAGATATATATGTTTCTTCTGCAAAATACAACTCAAAAATGGCATATTTAGGTAAAAATAAACAAATACATAAACACATACATATCTACATACATACATTCAATTGAAAGCAAATAGTAATAGCCACTCTTGGAACCAGCTTCTCTTTGGAGTGTGGTTTCTGTGTTGACTATTGATTTGTGTTCTTGGGGAGAGTCAGATCCCAGCAGCCGGCCTCAGATGGCAAGTCAGTCTAATATGATTCCTTATTCTTCAGCACGTGACATTTGAAGACAGTGATATCTAATGAAGATTTCTTTCCTAAGCTGCCCCATTAAAAGAAAAGTGCCTACCAGCCAGTCAGCGTAGGTGCACAATTCCAAAGAAGTCTGAGGGATCTAGTTTGAGAGGCAACAACATGAAGGGGCCAGTAGGACCACCCATCCCCACTGTGATGTAAATAAGGGCAGGAGGACTGAAGCGCCTCTTGAACAGCCTGAATGAACCACCATCAGTGACTCTCCTAATTGTGTTTCTGCTAAACACTGGAGGGCCTCACTTTTCTCCTTTAATGTGAAGAAAGAAGGAAAAAAAAAATCTGCCCTGTCAAAGCCACACAAGGGAATTCTCTTAAAATAAACAGCTAAACTTAACGGCAGGCTTTTCTTTCCATGGAAATATTTTAAATGTATATAATGTTAGATGGCTGCTAAAAAAATGACAAGTGTCTGTTTTCATTAAACTCCCCAAGAGTATGGATCTAATTGACAGCCTTTCTGAGGCCCTGAGGAGCTTCCAGCTTCAGGGTTTCCATGGCAACGTGTCCCCACTGCTAGAGCTCTACTGCTCACAGTCATCATTTACAGGGACCCACATTTTAGACACTCCTTTAAGCTATCCAGGAACTTCACTATCCCAAAGGGTAACAAATTCAATTTTCCAAGCAGGTAAAACTTCCCACTTTGGGGCTAAGCTTCCACTTCCAATTTCTAAGAATTCTTTGTTCAATTTATGATTGAACAAAGATCAATTTGATATATTCATTTATGCATTTCTTTCTTTCAGTCTGGCTCTGTAGCATGCTTCTTGTACCTTTAAGGCTGTAGGTCTTAAACTTCATGGTTATCTTTCATCTTCTTCCAAAGGAGTAACATTGCACCAGAATCTGTCCCCCTGGGAAGTAACGCTTGCCATGACTAGTCATCTAAGTCACAACAAACTCCAGGCTCACCAGTCCCCAGGTAAGGTAGGGAGAGGTTAGAGGTAGGACTTCCACCTGAGTGCCTGGTCCCTGGGCTGATAGGAGCTGGCTGCATTCCAGCCCACTTTCCACTCACATGCCAGTCTGAGGGGCTGTGTCAGCCAAGAACGGTGCCCTTTTCTAATGCAAAGGGGAAGTGTGCAGACCTGACAGTATGTAACACACTCAGTGAACTTTATTTCATTTAGTCCTCAGAGCCTGATGACAGAGTTCTTATTAATCCTAAATTATATTGAGCAAAACCAAGGTTAAATACTACACTCAGGGCCATGCAGCTTATAAATGGCAAAGTCAAGATTTCAAATGAAGTAGGCCAACTCCCATACTCGAGTTCTCCCCAACACACTGGGCAATAGAGAAAAATATGCAGACTGTGAAAGCCCTGACCTTCTCAAAGCGGAAGGCCTGCCAGACACAGAAAAAGTGGGTTCTGCTATTAAAGCCATCCAATTAGAGGATTTTTTCTCACAGATTGCTACCTGCATAGGGCTCATTGGCATTTTAAAGTCAATTGTCCCTTATATGTGTATGGTGCCACCTTCTGGGCTGTGGCACACACAGGAGCCTCAGATTTCTCCAGTAAGAAGTGACAGCCACCCTGGTGGTTATTTGTACACAGTGCTCTGTGTTCAAACAAGATGGCTTGGATGTGCTAATGGATTCTTATCAGTTAATTGAATCAGACACTGCTCATTTACCTGGGCACCTCTGATGGGGTCTACAAACAGCCCTTCACAATCAAGATCTTCCCAAAATCACAGGGAGGACTGGATGGCTTCCCTCACACTGTTGTCCAACCACAGTGGGAAAGGAAAGTTCAGGTCTTGTATTCCCATGTGGGAAAACAAACAAATAAACAAAAACTTGTCAAGCACAGGGCAAGTGCAAGTTTAGGATTTGCTCAGTTTCATTCTGTTAATTGAAAAGTTTTCGTACAAGGGCTTTGTATTCATTATTTTAGTGAAGGAGGATTTTTTTTTATTTTAATTTTTATTTATTTATTTATTTTTGCGACAGAGTTTCGCCCTTGTTGCCCAGGCTGGAGTGCAATGACACGATATCGGCTCACTGCAACCTCCATCTCCCAGGTTCACACCATTCTCCTGCCTCAGCCTCCCGAGTAGCTGGGATTACAGGCATGTGCCACCATGCCCAGCTAATTTTGTATTTTTAGTAGAGACGGGGTTTCTCCACGTTGGTCAGGCTGGTCTCAAACTCCCGACCTCAGGTGATCCCCCGGCCTCGGCCTCACAAAGTGCTGGGATTACAGGCGTGTGCCACTGCGCCCAGCAGGATTTTTAAACATTAGAGAAATATGTAAGTGTGCATTCAGTGACTTAGTGAATTGGGGACATTCACCAGTAAGTAACTGGTCCTCCAAAATGAGGATGTGTAATCCTATGGCCAAAGGGCTGCTAATCACTGTGAATGACAGTTCAACCCCTCTGCTTGTAATTCACACATAACAGATAGTGATGAGGTTAAAGGCAAAAGGTCTACAGACACAGAGGTCAGTGTCCGGTGCTTTGATATATGACAGCTCAAATATAGCAGAGGAAAATTTTTCCTAAAAAAATTTTAAAAAGGAACAAGCCAGATTATTTCCCCCTCTCTCCTGGGAACATGGGCTTTATCCAGGCATTCTTCCAAAAATCCTATCTCCCCGACTTCTCCCAAGCAACTAAATCAGCTAGTCAAGAACATACTACAGGGTATGCTGTCTCCAGTTGGAAATCCCGGACATCAAACTACAGCCAAACAGGGGAAAGTATGGAAAGAGAAAGTACTTGCAGACTTAAAGCAGGAAAGCAAATATAATTCTCTCATTATTCATTCTTTCAACAAATATTTATTTGGTTTTTACTCTGTGCCAGACACTGGCAAAAGAGTAATAAACTAAATATTTCCATGGGACATACATACTGATAGGGAAAGACATAGTAAAGCAGAAAATCTTTGTGTCAGATGCTCATATGGGTTCGAAAGAAATAAAACAAGGTAATGAGCAAAGGGTTTTCCTTTTACACAGGGAGGCCTCAAAGGCCTGCTTGATGAGGTGGTATTTGACCAGAGGCTTGAAGTGAGGAAGCTGGCCATCATGCTATGCAAAGGGAGAGCGAAACTGCAGAAGACAGAGCTCATGCAAAGGCCCTGAGGTGCTCTCATGCCTGGCATCATTTGAGCCAAGCAAGGGAGCCAAGGGCTGAGAAAAGTGATCAACTACGTTGACTGGGATCCCTGCAAGGCAGACATTGAGAATGAGATTATCGTGCCAGCAATTTATTTAGAGAGTATTCTCAGGTCAATACACATAAAGAGAAAGGGGAAGAAATAAGACTGAACAAAAGAAGTTGGGCCATGATATAATTTCAACAGAGGACTCAGCTCCTCAAATTAGTATGGCTTTTCAGGGTTGTCTTGATTTTCGGCAAGGAGGCCAGGCTCCATGCCCATTCATCCCCCAGTTGTGGGATATATCTGCCCCAGGAAGTGGGCATGGCCTTGGAAGAAGCAGCTTTCTCCATCTGTAGGCAACTTTCACAGGGGCCTGACAGCCACAGAAAGTAATAATTTCAGCCCTAA
The DNA here is from genome assembly GCF_000001405.40 of Homo sapiens. Lineage (NCBI taxonomy): Eukaryota > Metazoa > Chordata > Mammalia > Primates > Hominidae > Homo > Homo sapiens. Next base: position 84,843,805 of record NC_000010.11, on the reverse strand, counting down.
AGTGGGATTTGGGCCACACATCACAGCATCCACTACACCAAGGGGGGATATGTAGACAGGGAAGGAAAGAAATACATCGGGTACCAAATTATTTCAAAACCGGGGATAGAGTCTGGGCATATCATGTGTAGTCATTGGAAAGTTTGAGGACACATATTTTCAATGGATTGTGCTAGCTGTTGGTTTGAGACTAGACTGCATGGGTGGGAAGTAGGGGTGGAAGGTTAAGAATAATGACATCATTGGCACAGAGCTTAAAGGAAACAAAAATTGCAAAAAGAGAATAAATTTTCAATAAGGGCAGCAAAGTCACCACAGTATGCCAGGTATCATTGGGGAGCCCCTGCCAGTGCACACAAATATGGAAAGAGAAAGCTGACAGCAGACCTAGACAGAGAAGACACAAGCACAGGACTCAGCCATTCACATCTGGAAAGACATAAAAACAAGGAGATTCTTTGATGCCTATGAATCAGAGTTTCAAACAAACTTCTTAGGATGTTTGGGGGCAAGAAAAATCAAGAGGATTAGAGTGTTCGAGGGTTCTTGGGAGCACTTACAAGGTAGATCATGGTGGTGTTCAGGAAAGGTGAAATTCATCAGAGAGCTGATAAGACAGAATGGAACATCCTTATGATTTAGCAGTGGTTCTCAGACTTGGGATGTATCACAACCACCTGGGGAACTTAATACAAAACAGAGAGGCCCAGGTACATTAACATAGAATAGGTCCTGGGCTTTGTATGTTTACTGAGTTTTCCTGGTGATGCTGACACCCACCAGAGTTAGAGAATGGCTGACTCCGAGAGTGCTGCAAAGTGCACCAGGAACCAATGGACTCCCCTACCTGGGAAACACCAATCCAAGGGTGCCATTCTCCTTTTGTTCCCATTCAAAATTGGTGTGCATTAATGCCCAGATATTACATGCAGCATTTCTGCCCTCTACCAGAAGAGGGATCATTAATTATTTACAAGATCCAGAGCCAAACTGGTAATCTCCTTGGTGAAAGGAACAGATGAGAAATGAGTTGCCAAGGGTTGGCAGCAGAGTCTCTGTTGACATAACCCAGGGACCCAGGGATTACACTCAGGGAAGAGATGGGAAAGCATATGTTCCAAGGCTTTTTAACAATTTCTTGGGGCAAAAAGTTAAATTAAATTAAATTAGATGGACCACAGATGCCTTCCAATCATAAAACTATTTTGGGGGCATGAAGTGAAAATTTCTTCTTATTCTTTGATAGAAAAATAAAACTCAAGCAATCATGATTCTAAGCAGAGGGGCTTGTAGCAGATCATACAAGCTTTCCTCACATTTTACAATTAAAGAAACTTCAAGGAACTGGAAAGTGGGCAACAGTCCACTCATCCTACCCATTCCTATGAAAAAGTAACACTCACACCTGCTGGTGCCACAGGTCTCAGGCTGCATAAATAAATTTTCCTGATAGGTTTCCAGTAATAGGAAGGCACCTTGTTTTTTTAATTGACAAAGGTGGGCGTGTATTAGTCAGGGTTCTCTAGAGAAACAGAACCAATAGGATGTCTATATGGTAGGCCTGCAGATACACAAAGATTCAACCAACTGTAAACCAAAAATATTCAGAAAAAAATAACAATAAAAATAACAATAGAATAATACATATAGAAAACAACAGCATATAACAACTATTTATATAGCATTTACAGTGTATTAAGTATTATAGGTAATTGAAGGTTATTTAAAGCATACAGAAAGATGCATGTAGGTTATATGAAAATACTACACATTTTTTTTTTTGAGATGGAGTATTGCTCTGTCACCCAGGCTGGAGTGCAGTGGCCCGATCTCAGCTAACTTCAACCTCCGCCTCCCAGGTTCAAGCGATTCTACTGCCTCAGCCTCCCAAGTAGCTGGGATCATAGGCATGTGCCGCCAAGCCCGGCTAAGTTTTTGTATTTTTAGTTGAGATGGGGTTTCACTGTGTTGGCCAGGAATGTCTTGATCTCCTGACCTCATGATCCACCCGCCTCGGCCTCCCAAAGTGCTGGGATTACAGGCATGAGCCACCGGGCCTGGCTACTACACCATTTTATATAAGGGATGAGCACCACAGATTTTGGCATCAGAGGGGGATCCTGGAACCAATCCTGCATAGATACCAAGGATGACTCTGAGTGTGTGTGTGTGTGCACGTGCACATGCGCGTGTGTGTAAAAAGAGATTTATTATTAGGAATTGGCTCACACGATTATGGAGGCTAAGTCCCATAATCTGCTCTCTGCTAGCTGGAGACCCAGGAAAGCCCATGGTGTAGTGTGAAGGACTGAGAGCTGGAAAGCTGATGGTCTGATAGTAGAAATTTCAATCTGAAGCTTAAGACCTAAGAACCAAGAGCACTGAGAACAGAAGATGTTTGTTCCAGCTCAAGCATCAAACCTTCCTCTACCTTTTTGTCCTAATCAGGCCCTCAGTGGATTGGATCATGCCCATCACATCAATGGAGGCCATTTGCTTTTCTCTGTCCACCAATTCAAATGCTGATCTCTCCCAGAAACACCTTCACGGACACCTAGAAATAATGTTTTACCAGATATCTGGGTACCCCATTGGCCCATTCAAATTGACACATAAACCATAAAATAAACCATCACAGAGGGGCCACAAAAGTTTATAACTGACCTAATTTAATTTTCAGAAAACCTAAAGGGGAAATGTTTTGACCCAATGGCTACACTATGGAATCAAACTAGCATTGGTAAGTAAAGCTTGCAGAGAAGAAAGTGTTCACATTAACCTAAGAAATATGTCAACCAATTATCCAGAAGGCTAAGGGCTGAATTAAAGCAATGTTGCCTTGGAGACTATTTTGATAAACAGGTAAAAAAACTATCCAGCCCAGAACAAAATCAAGATGAGCATAAACAGAAGACAACCGTTTTTGCCAAGAGGTATAACTATACTAATTTTAAAACAAAAATATCATGCAAGAGGCCGGGTGCGGTGGCTCACGCCTGTAATCCCAGCACTTTGGGAAGCTGAGGTGGGTGGATCATGAGGTCAGGAGATCAAGACATTCCTGGCTAACACAGTGAAACCCCATCTCTACTAAAAATACAAAAAATTAGCCAGGCGTGGTGACGGGTGCTTGTAGTCCCAGCTACTTGGGTGGCTGAGGCAGGAGAATGGTGTGAACCTGGGAAGTGGAGGTTGCAGTGAGCAGAGATCACATCACTGCACTCCAGCCTGGGTGACAGATCGAGACTCCATCTCAAAAAAAAAAAAAAAAACCATGCAAGAAAAAAAATCAACAATTTAAGTCAAGTTAGATGAGCAAAGAATGGGGAAGAAACAGGAATTACAGAAATAAGCTAAAAAGCAAGAACTTCTCATATTTCTCATATTCAATAAAGGGGAGTGTAAAATTATTGTGTTTTAATCACACCTGGGTGATTATATAAGAATGCTCATTAATGTGAAATAATCACTTTAATTGTTAAAAACAAGAATATTATGTTCCAACCTTTACTATGAATTCTTTAAAAAGTGCCACGCAACAGAAGACAGACTAGAAGAAAGAAAAAAAGTTAAGTAAATGTGAGATGGCTTATGGGATGAATAATTTATACCATGTGTAGAAAGAAGGAGCTGTCTAGGTAGGGGGAGGTTGTGCTGCATAAAGAAGACATACGAACAAATGCACAACACAAAGAAAATAATAAAGACAGCAGCAGTGGATGGAGGAGCCCAGCACAAAAT